>NC_000009.12:106553885-106705400 GCF_000001405.40 Homo sapiens | reverse complement strand
CATGGAATACTATGCAGCCATAAAAAAGGATGAGTTCATGTCCTTTGTAGGGACATGGATGAAGCTGGAAACCATCATTCTCAGCAAATTATCGCAAGGACAAAAAACCAGACACTGCATGTTCTCACTCATAGGTGGGAATTGAACAATGAGAACACTTGGACACAGGAAGAGGAACATCACACACTGGGGCCTGTTGTGAGGTGGGGGGAGGGGGCGATAGAATTAGGAGATATACCTAATGTAAATGATGTAAATGACGAGTTAATGGGTGCAGCACACCAACATGGCACATGTATACATATGTAACAAACTTGCACATTGTGCACATGTACCCTAGAACTTAAAGTATAATAAATATATATATATATATGAAAATTTTAACAGGTATACCTGAAACTCCTTTATTCTCTAAGATGAGGAACAAGGAGAATTAAATTAGTTGAAACCACAGCAACCAAGGTGCTCCAATCCTCTAGACAAATATTTAACACTTTGGTTTTCTTCCTTGATGCCTCTCATCAGAATATTTTTAAAGCAAGAGGTCCTGAGATTTCTCTGCTCCCTGGGGGTGGGTGGAGTGACTCTTATTGTTCAATGTCAGGGATGATGCTAATCACCCAGGTCTGGGAGTTGTTGGACTGGTGGGAATTGTCTGAATCTTGCCACTGACTTTTCTAGGAAGGAATTTTGGCCTTGATGATTTTGGCTGTAAAAAGTCCGTAAGATAACCTTCCCCTCCCTCCTCCCATTTTCATCTCCTCTGGGGCAGAGGAAAACCCCAGACACCAGCTTTCTGGTAACATAAGAAGCTTCCCATAACAATGGACTATAAATTACAATAAGCAAGGCTCTTCTCTTTCTCTTCCCCTTTGTTTCGCTCCCCTAGCAATATTGTAAGAGTCTACACAATCTCATAAGGGACTTGGCTGGCAATCAGTTGAAGATACTATTCCTTTGGCAGCAGTTCCAAGTGACTAAACTAATGTATTCCTTCTTGCTTAGTTTCTGCAAAATTGCATTATGGTTCTTTGCAGCTAGGGGCTGGAAGAAGAAACCAAAGCATAGAGAAAGCTGGGGCACAAACTGACAAAGCCACTCAACCAAGCAGTGTGATTTCACCAGCTTTAAGTCACAGGGCTGTACACGTGTAGCAGAATTGCTGTTTTTTGGGGGGTGTGGCTTCCTGAGGTCCAGAGTCTCTGGTTGACCAAGAAGCAGCTGGGGCTGTGATGAGTCTCTACGGAGGTAAAATCTCTAGGCTGACTTCGTTTTCTTTGTGTGGCATGTCCTCCTTTAACTTTGTCTTTGATCTTGCTGAATCTGGCTGCGTTTGAGACTGGATGATATGCTTTGCACAAATGTTTCTGGAAACGAAGACCACTGACTAGCTTGCCCAAGTAAACCAGAGAAACAATACTAATTGGGAAAGTCTTTTCCTGCTTACTTGGAGCCATGTGAAATGAACTTTCTTAACTCCAACACTAGCTACCTGTGTGACCTAGGGCAAATTGTTAGCTTTTCTGCCTTATTCTCCGTATTCCTCATTTGTAAGGGGATTGGGGAGGCAAATACTCTCTGTACTATTTTGTTTCTCACTTAGAATGAGCCTATGAAACAAAGCCTTAGTTTCTCTAGATTACATTATTGGTAGATGAAAACTTTTTTTTACCCCATCTCCTGAAATACAAATAAATACGTACGGTATTATCAAACCCTAATTGGAGTTTCTAATGATTATCTTAAATTTTGTTCCATAAAAAGTGAAACAAATTCAAACCAAATACATTATCAGTATGAAATAAGTAAAATTTTAGCCTGGCTTAGCAATGAAATAGAACAGCCTGGATGAAATGGAGGCCATATCTACAGATGCTCTAAGAAAGTTCAGTCTCACATAAAAAAAAGCAAGTCCCGAAGAGTATGCAGGTCCAATTCTCATGTTTTTAAAATTTTTTTTTAATTTTTAATTTTTGTGGGTACATACTAGGTATATATATTTTTGGGGTACATGAGATGTTCTGATTCAAGCATGCAATGTGTAATAACCACATCATGGAAGATGGAGTATCTATTTCAGCAAGCATTTATCCTTTGTGTTACAAACATCATGGTCTTTTTTAAAGCTTCCCTGCCTGTCCCATGTACTATATGGTTCACAAGGGGACATCTTTCACTTAGGTCTACAGTTTTAGTTCTCACCACTTACTCTGAATTATTCATTGATGTGTGCTCTGTTTTGCTGCGGATCCATCCTGCTACTAATCTCAGTGTTTATTCACTCGTTCCTGTATTTGCTCTGCCCTTTGGATTTGATGGTGGATACCGTGGTCCCAGCAGGATTTCCGTAAGATTTCATTTCATGCAGATACACTACTTTAGGTGTGCCTGCTTGAAACTGGCCTTGGACTCTATCCATGTGAGCTCTGCTACTCTGGGCATGATGCTTAACCAGTTTTAGCTGGCTTCCTTGAGTAGCTCTTGAACATGATAATCAATACTAGGTAAAATAGGAGCAGTTAGAATCAGAGGTCTAAGAAGATTTTAATGGAGTTTCTGATGGATGAGCAGGGAACACAGGCATAGGTGATATTCCAAAATCTAGGTGTGCAGTAGGAATCAATGATGTCAAATAGCTACTGGCAAGAGTTCAAGGTTTGGTTCTCATTCCTGATGGGGATGAGGGTTCTGTATTAGTCTGTTCTCACACTGCTCATAAAGACATACCGGAGACTGGGTAATTTATAAAGGAAAGAGGTTTTATTAACTCACAGTTCAGCATGGCTCGGGAGGCCTCAGGAAACTTACAATCATGGTGGAAGGGGAAGCAAACACCTCCTTTTTCATATGGCGGCAATAGGGAGAGGTGCCGAGCAAAGAGGGAAATGCCACCTGTAAAACCATCAGATCTCGTGAGAACTCACTATCACAAGAACAGCATGAAAATAACCACCCCCATGATTCGGTTACCTCCCACCGGCTCCCTCCCACAACATATGGGAATTATGGGAACTACAATTGAAGATGAGATTTGGGTGGGGACACAGCCAAACTATGTCAGGTCTAACAAGGTTAAGGTTCTAATGGCTCCAGGGATCCTGTTAGCCCATAATAGTAACACCTATTAGAAAACATTAACATGTCAGCATCTGTACTTACAGGACCATAATAGTCGCATTTCAGATAACGAATCCTTGCCACTGTGAGACATTCTTTGGGCAGTTTGTAATCTCTGAAGAAATGCAATCATGATCCTTAGTCTGTGGCTTAGTGCCTACTGGGGCTGAACTCTTTCTACCTGGCCTTTTCCTGCAGGTGGCAAGCCCAACTCACTTGGCCCAAAGAAATCATATTAACAAGGTCTTGGACATTTCAATGTTTTCAAACTTGGTGGGCCAGGTCATCTACATGCAGTCAAGGTTTCTGTGTGAAGCAGCCAACAGAAGGTTTATTGTTGAGAAGAGTGGAGTTGAGTAATAGGTGAGTGTGCGAGGACAGCATGGGGGTATGGGAAAGTAAGTGGGAAGGAGTCCAGTGCAAGTCAGGAATGAGTTAGGGGTGATGGCACTTCCTGGAAACTCAGTAAGTACTTGGGGATACATGCATGAATAAACCACTCTTTCCAATTTTCCCCAGACTCAGGATGAAGGATTAAGGCTGAAGATCAGTTATTCACACTGAATTCCAGGTTATGGTTGGACTATCAATGGAGATGACTCAATGTTTAGTCCTAAGGTGAGAGGCTACTGCTGCTTTGTACCTCTAACCTCAGTTCAAGTTGGTCTTTGGGTGTTGAGTTGTGGGAAGAAAAAGATGTGAGTGGCGGGCTGGAGAGGGCTTTTCAGGGCAATGGTTTTCAGCGCCAGCCCATTTCTGGCAAATGTATTACTCTCTAGGCAAGTGTCTATTTGCTGTGTTGATCCAACACAACATTAACTTCTGAAACAGTTGCATTCGTTTTGCCAATTTTCCAAGTTTAAAACAGGAATGGAGTTAATAAAGTAACAGAGGCATTTTGGATGGTGAAACTCTAATTTTAAAATGCCCACATGTGTATAATTTTCCACTTTCTTTCTAAATTCCTAATGCTGGAAGGAGTCTTAGAAACCCAAACCTCTTGTTTATAGATGAGAAAACTTAGGTCATGAGAAGTAGACGATTTGCTCAAGGCCACACAGCTAGCTAGGGAAAAGCCAGAGTCAGAATCCAAGATCTGAAGCTTCTAGAAAGTGCCTTTTCAACCCTATCCCAATCTTCTAATTTATGAATGGAGACCATTGAGGGGATTTGAGATGCTGCTTCAGCATCAAGGGCAACTGTATCCATGTAGAATCATGGTCATCTTTTCAGGGAAGTTTCCAAAAGATTTGATAAAGCAGTTGGGAGGATTTATCATCAGCTGATATTTTACTTTATATCAGCTGTTTTATGCTGTGATATTATTTGTCATCATAAGCTGATTCATTCATGTGTTTGTTCTACAAATACTTGTGAGAGTTGGCCATGGACCAGCACCATTGTAGAGATGAGAGAGAAGGTAATAGTGGTGAATGAGGCATCCTAAAACCTTGCCCTTGTGGACACTTCAGCTTAGTAAAGGATTTGGGAGACTATTTTTTAAGTCCTGCTTCATTTTACCTCTCCAAGGACCTCTGTTGGACTGTATCTTTACCCAGCTTCCTGCCATGACACTCTATTTGATAAAGACAAACTTTAAAAGAGTGAAACAAATGCTGGTTCCAGATTTAACCCTTAGTCAAATATTTCATGGTGAAACTACTGTACTGTCTCTGAAAACAAAGCGAGAGGAGCTTGAAAAGCCTTAAATGTCAGGAAAGTACAGGAGCTACCCAAAGCAGGAGAGTGTTTTATTCAAGGCCTCATATGTTGGTAAAGTCAGGAAGAGAAGTGGGTTCCTAAACTCTTATTTTTTTTGCTCCGTTACAAGAATGCATTCCTCTAACATTTAAACAATATTCTCAAAATTCAATAACACTTCTAAAAACTTAGATTATTCCTAACACAGTAGGAAAGCCTACTGAAAGGACCACCATGTAACTTGCTCACATGGAGTATATTTGTTCCCTGTTATCACCCAAGTCCCTGACAAACTGTCCTGTACAAATAGGCACTCAATATATGAGTTTAATGAACCAATGGATGGATGTTATGAGCATTGATATAAGATGTTAATTTACATTGTTCACTCATAGACATCTATGGAGCACAGTTTGGAAATTTCCTGCAGAATCATTATGCTCCTAGCAGAGCTTTGTGTAGGGTTTTTGAAAATTCTGTTCAATTCCACAGGAAAGGGAAATAAAAACTATTTCTATGTCCTCATCTCCTCTCAGGTGAAACTCAAAATGGGTTTTTGATTTAAAGTGCTAGGCTGGTCTCTAGAATATTATCAGTCCTTTTAAATGGACTTTTACCTTCTGAAGGGAGCATGGGAAGAGGGAGATAAAATATCTCCTCTTAAACTCTCATCAATCTGGGAGAAACAGAAGGTTATTTGAAGGAAATGGAGGAATACTGAAAAAGAAACTACACTAGTATATTACTATACATAAAACACCTTCCTATCTGCTATCTCATTTAATACCTAAAACAATTGTGTAGGTGCCGTTATTATTACAATATTACAGATGAAGACACTGAGGCATAACAGTATAAGCCTGGAAATGGTAGCAGCTGCACTCAAAGAGCATTCTTCTGACTTTAGAACTGGTGCTTTTCAAGTACCTCACCCTTTTTTTGTAAACATGGTAATATCACAACCACCTGCATGCATACAGGCTTTCATCTGTGAATCACGAAGCAGGAGGGTTTGTGGCAAACCTGTCTTGAAAATGGTGGATGCCGTACATTGGTGCACATTCCCTATTTTAGTTGACAGCATCACCTTGTGGATGAAAATACATCTGGTATATGTTTTTATTTGTAAATACATGTTTACTCTGTTGATTAGGGATAATGAGCTGAGCTACCATGCTGTCAATCAGAATTGTTTGGGGATTGAAACTCCTTTTGCAGAGTTTAATTTTTTTAGTAATCAGCTATTAAAATGATCAAATAGTAACACTTAACTGGCAAACAAACAGAATGAGAGCTGGTTTGTTGCTGGCCGTATTAGTTAAAACTTACTGCAATTTTGCTTGCTTAATTAATATTTTTTGAATAGTGGGAATTAGCATTTATAGCATTTGTGGCTTTGTGGCGAGAACTAAAAGGGCAAAGTGAAATAGTAGCAGCTTAGCAGAATCTCACTGTCTAAAACAAAAGGGTAGGGCCTCAAGTCCGAAGATCCTGAGGTTCTGCCATTTTAACTTTGAGTAATTTTAAACTCTCTTAGCCTTAGTTTCTCCGTCTCTAACATAGAGCAATGCCAAGCTTGTGAGAGGATCATCAAATGCCTGGTAGTCTGGGTCCTTATATTTAAGATTTTAAGGGAAAGAGTCTCTGCATTTAATGACAAGGAATGAAAACCACAAGACAATCATCCATCCAAGTGCATGCAGACAGTCTGTGCCACTCACACAAAAGTTCTAGACACAGTTTAGCAGGAATCTTAGCCGATTTAGGTTCTTTTGCTGCTGTAGATTTTTGGTAGACAATTAGGTTTTAAAAAATATTTTTTGTTATAGTGAAAAAACGTTGCAAAATAACAAATACCCTGATTTTTCCCCAACGATTCCTTAAATGACAACATAAAGCTGACAACTAATTTAACAATAAGGTAAGGACAATTTATCCTAATTGCTCTGGAGGTGATTATTTGATAGGAAAATTAGCAACCTGTATTATATTACACGCAGTGTCCTGATTAAATGTTTCCTTCAGAAGTTCTATTGGAAAAAGTTTTGCGTTTTTTTTTTTTTTTTTTAGTTCCTTTTTTTTTTTTTCTTGTAAGGGAAAGCCTTCTTGGGCAATCTATGAACAGTCAGAATGGATTTTAAGTAATGTCTCATATTATTCATAGAGTCTGGAAAAAGCCGGCCTACTTAACTCTATCTCACCAGCTTTTTTGCAGACTGCTCCCTGCCAACCTCCCTCACCGTACACCCTTCCCTCCTCCCCAGTCCAACCCTCACAGCTGAAAGTCTTGAGGGCAAACTTTCAGTTTAAATTTCCCAGCTTTTTGTCAGTTTATGTCAAAGCCCTAGCCACCTCTCCCACTGACTGCAGTGGCTTTGTTTTTTCTTCCCCTCCATTTGCTACTTGTTAGCCTCCGTGTACTGTGTCGGCACACTTACAGTAGGCAGAGCGCTGATGACAGATGGCGGGGGGGCTGGGAGCTGGGCTGCAGTGGCACCATGCCAAGGGATATGCCTCGCCGCGGGAATGAGCCGCCCAGAAGCTCTCCTTGAAGCCTTGTCCGCTTGGTTTGGTTCTGTGGGCGTGTTTGTATATGCCAGTGCACACGTGGCATGTTTTGTTGTTGTTGTTGTTGTTGCGGTTGTTTTTGTTGTTGTTTGGGCCAGTGACAACAGAGGCCTCGCTGGCTGGCTGCAGCTTTCCACTCTTGGCAGTTTCCAGACTCCCAGACAGGAAATTCTCCCAACCATTGCAGCTGTGAATTGGCCCATTTTTCTGGAAAGAGGATAAAGAAAAGAGTTTTGTGGGATTCTTTGCTTTTCTCGCACAAGCAGGGACGCGTTGAATACAAACAGGAAAATGCGAGGGAGATCAAGGGATGGGAGGGAAGAAGGAGGGATGGGAGTCATCAGAAATCAGATGAAATTCTGTACCGGTTTCAGGCAAGTGTTTGAGACACGCAAATGCAATTGCCTGGGAGCATATGCAGTGCTGTTCTCTGGAACCAGGTGCAGGTCTGCCCTAATGGTGAAACTGCCCTGGGCCTTTGTGGGGTTTTAGCAATTTGAACTCCTTTGACAGCCAAGAGGCACTCACTTTCATTCATTCCTTCAATAAATGTTTGAGAGCCGGCTCTGTGACTGGCAGTTTGCTGCGAGGCTAGGTGAGGGTACACCGGGGGAAAGAGAAACAAGATCTATCCCTTAGGGAACTAATAATCAGATAGACAAAAAGAAAGGAAGTAAACACACATCACAGTCACACACTCCTGTTAGTGTTCTCCATGCAATTTAATAGGCTACTGTGGCAGAGAAGGAGGATGATATGATGATGATAATTATCACAACTTTTAATGAGCAGTTCTTATGTGCCAAGCACTGTTCTAAAGGCATTTCTCATTTAAACCTCATAAGAACTATGCAGTAAATACTACGAAAACAAGCATTTGGGGGCCGTCAGGAAGGACGTCACTAAGGAAGTGAAATCTGAGCTGAGGTATGAAAGACGTAAAGGAGTCAGCAGCCATTCAAAGAGCCAGGGGAAAGGAACAGCAAGTACAAAGGTCCTGAGGTAGGGAAGAGCTTAAGGGTATTCACATCACTGAGAAAACAGCTATGGGACAGGGGTGTAGAAAGTAATATAGCAGGGAGGGGAAGTTGGGGAGATTGGAATGGTGTGGGATAAACTTGAAGAAATGGGCAGGGTTCCAATCATGCAAAGCCTTGTAAGGAACATGTTCTGGTCAGGGATATGAGAATTGGAGGACTTTGAGCTGGAAGGGGACATGAGTAAAATTACATTTTTAAAAAATTCTCCCTTTCTATTGGGGAGGATGGAATGGATTTGACTGGACAAGTATGGAAGTTGGAGTATAGGAGGCTATTACTGACAAATGATGATGGCATGAATTACGATAATGGCTGAGGACATGGAGAAGTAGAGGGATTAGGTCTGTACGTTGGGGTGAGCCAAAAGGAAGTGCCCATCAACTGGATGCAGGCACTCTGGCTCCGACCCCTGGATAGCAAATGGTGCCATTCTCTGAGAAGCAAAGTGCTGATGACGGACCAGGGGTTCCTGCCTTAGCACACACATCAAGTGCATACCGCTTTGTACACTAGAAACAGCAGTGTCCAGAGAGGAAAACTAAGGCCTACAGATGAAGAGGAAATACCATTCACTGAGATGAATAAAGATCATATCATATGAGGAAAGAAAATAATTTCCTAATGTTTGTGAAGTGAGGTTTTACACTTTAGCTTCTCTCCTTTGTCTTACTTGATCTTTCCTATAGTACTGCAATGTAATTATGAGGATCTCAATTTTATAGATGGAGGAAATAAGACCTACAGGAGTGAACTGACTTCTTGTGGACACACAGCTAGTAATCCTGGTTATTGCTATTTTTTTTTTTTTCCCCGAGATGGAGTCTTGCTCTGTAGCCCAGGCTGGAGTGCAGTGGTGTGAGCTCAGCTCACTGCAACCTCTGCCTCCTGGGTTCAAGCAATTCTCCTGCCTTAGCCTCCCCAGTAGCTGGGATTACAGGCACATGCCACCACACCCAGCTACTTTTTGTATTTTTAGTAGAGATGGGGTTTCACCATGTTGGCTAGGCTGTTCTTGAACTCCTGACCTCGTGATCCATCCACCTCGACCTCCCAAAGTGCTAGGATTACAGGCGTGAGCCACCAAACCTGGCGTTATTGCTAATATTAATTGAAAGCTTACTTTGCACCAAACCCCGTTCTATGCGCTTAACACATACTGAGTCTTCATAATCACCTAAGGTAGGTTCTACTCTTATTCCATCTTGCAGAGGGAAAATTGAGACATATAAAGTTTAAATAACTTGTTCAAGGTTATAAGAACAGAACTGTGTTTCAAACCTGGGAGTTTAGCTCCCTGATCTGAGTTCTTAACCACCATACTACACTAGGCATGCTTAAATGAGCACTCTGAATTTTACAACCTCTTCATACTCTAAAATACCTCATTAATGCTACTTTTGATTATTACTCTTCCCCTGCAGTGGATTTGTGTATTTGGGGCATTTTCAGCATTGCCTTAGGCAGCTGGATACCCATTTCTCAAATATTTGCCTCCAAAGGCTATACAGCAACCATGACATGACAACTAAAGAAAGACTATACTCTGAAGTGATGTAACTTTTAGGTAGCTCTGTGGAGCAATGGATAGTGCATTGGAGTTCTAGTGGCGAAGTGATATAACTTTCAATCCCATTTTATAATAAGAAAAAAATAGAACCTACATAATAGTTTGGTCTATATATAATATTTATTGGATTTTTTTTCTTTTCTGAGTTGATACATATGTCATGGAACGTCACTTTTATTTTCTTGAAAGTCCTAGAGCCAAGTAGGTAGGCAGAAAGTCACTATATCAGTTATCTCATCAATTAACTGATATCATTATATCAGTTTCATTTTCATATCTCTTAAAAGATGACCTATATCTACAACAGAGACAAAATAATTAGACCAAAAACAATCCACATGTGTACCCCAACAAGGTCCTATAGATGATCATCCGGACAACATCTTGAATGTACTTCATGTCACATTTATTCATAGAGGGCGGGATAGGAGAGAGATTATTTTAACTTTAATTTGTTCATATGTATCTTATCAAGGTTTGTTTTGGCTCAAGTTACACCAGCAGTCAGAAAGCAAAGATGAACTCGCATTCTGGCGTCGCACAAACTTTCAGTGAGCTGCTCAATTCCTGAGTAGGTTTGAAACAAGCACAGGCTTTTGTTTGTTGTTTTGTTTTGTTTTGTTTTAGCTAATGGTTAAATAGCTAAATAACCACAGGGCTGGGTCTTCATTCTGAAGTGCTCTAAATTGATATCTCATACTCAGATGGTGGTGAACAGCTGCCTCACTAGGTTAGTTGTTCCGAAGATGAAGTGAGATAATTTCTCAATTTTGGCCACCATCCAATCAGGTAGCAAAGATAAGACAGGCAAAATGGTTATCCCATATTTCTCAAAAGTACTGTGCAACGTTGGTGCTACGCTATGTCTAAAATGCACTACTTGGTTAGGTTTAGGGAATGTTGCTGTCTATTTCTGCCATGTATTGGCATATTAGAAGCTCTAATAAGCCCCATAATAAAGAAACCTGTTTAATATTGCCTAATGTAGTATTTTCCAAACTGTCTGTTTTCATCAGTGCTAATGGTCAGCGGTGAGACTGATATTCCAGCCAGATTATTCTTTAGCCCATGTAAGGTATACTGAAACTAAATCCCTCTTAGGTAAAGCTCTAAGAGAAAAAAAATAGTGTCTAGAATAAGGTATCTCCAGTCAAATGACTAGGAGCCCATGTCCTGGCTTAGTCTATTGGCAATTCTATAATTTGAGGCAACCACTGTTAAATTCTTTGAGTTTTTTTTTTTATCTGCAAATGAGAAATACATCTTTCTTCAAAGGGTAGTTGTGATTTTTTTTAATCCATTAGTGAATTCATACATTTAACAATATTTATTAAATATCTTCCCAGTGCTAAGTATTATACTGTTGACTGGGAATTCAGGAGTTAACCAGCTCACTTGGAATTGAATTCTTTACCCATTGGAAATCCCTGATCCACTCTTGCACCTATATCATCCTGGAACATCAGTTACTTATCCTATTTTTGCTATTACATAGGAAGAAAGATTCACCAGCAAGCCGGGTCTGTGCCAGACCAGGCCAGATGTTTTTCAGAAACTCCAAGCAGAAAAGAATGTCACTCACAGCCTGGATGGGAAACGTAAAATGTGCTAAGAAAAGACAAGCTATTTGTCAAGGCTTCTCCTACAAGAATTTAAAAAATGCTATTTTGACTTCTACCCTTTGTTCTGCTTTAGAAAAAATTCCTGGCGTTTTCAACCTTTGTTCTTTCTATTTGAGTAATTCATTTTTAAGAGTCAACACCTGGCTGGGCATGGTGGCTCATGCCTGTAATCCCAGAACTTTGGGAGGCCGAGGCAGGTGGATCACCTGAGGTCAGGAGTTCGAGATCAGCCTGGCCAACATGGTGAAACTCTGTCTCTACTAAAAATACAAAAATTAGCCGGGGGTGGTGGGCGCCTGTAATCCAAGCTACTTGGGAGGTTGAGGCAGGAGAATCGCTTGAACCCAGGAGGCAGAGGTTGCAGGGTACCAAGATCATGCCATTGCACTCAAGCCTGGATGACAAGAATGAAGCTTCATCTGAAAAAAAAAAAAAAAAAAGAATGAACACATGAAAGACTCTCCTTTGAAGATGAATATATTACTAAGAGGAAAGAAGGAAGAAGAAGATGGTTCATATGTACCTTGTGTTGCTATTACTGGTCCCCAGGTGGAGAAAATGTTTTTATCCCCTCACCTCCTCCTTCTTTCCTGCTGCTCTTTTAGCCTTGAAAAGGAGTTCTACATTTTAAGTGAGGTCACCCTAAGGGAAACCACTCAAATAGCCATGCAGTCCATGCAAGGCCTGGCTAGCTAAGCAAAGGGCTCATGGACCATCTTGCTTTGGCCTATGGGACAGATTTCTCACTTACATTTCCAAGATGTTAGCCCAATAAATTCAGCAGCACTCATAACTCTGCCTTGCACAGAGCTTCTGGCTCCCTGATCCAGGGGAACTTGTAATACTTGCTCAAATTGGGGTAGGTGCAATAATTATAAACAAAAACATATAAAACCACTTCACTTGTGTGAATACTCATAGGGAGATCAAGCGGATCAAAAAAGATGAATGTACTTGGAAATTAGGTGAGAATACAAAGTCTAGCAACTTTTTGGCCTTTTGCTGTATACTGCTCCAAAACAGGGTTTCTGAAGCTCAGTATGATTGACATTTGGGGTACGATAATTCTTTGTTACGAAGGAGCTGTCCTGTGCATTGTCAAAAGTTTAGCAGTATCCCTGGTTGCTACATGCCAGTAGCAACTCTTCCTAGACATGGTGAAATATCCCCAGGGGCCAGAAGCAAAACTGTTTCCAGTTCAAAACCACTTCTCAAAGGCAATAATTTCTTACAAATTTTGGTGCAATGGACTCCTTTGGCAATCTGGAGAAGATAGTTAACTCTTTCTCAAATTAATGTTTTTAAATGGATAAAAATAAAATACATAGGATAACAAGGAAAAGCATTTATCTTAAAGTTATCAAAATTATGTCTAAAAAATACAAAATTGTGCAATAGTCATTTATATAGTGATTGGACTGAAATCAGAGTAGGCATCCTAGTGTAGCTTAGGGTATCAACAGAACTGCTGGGCTCTGGTGATGGCAGTGACTGTGGTAGTGTTGGGAATTGGCTCAGTCAACACCTTGCTGCCCACCTGAGCTAGCAATCTGATTCCTCTGGACCTCATAGGCTTATCTGTAAAGTGATGGGCTCTGCTTGGATCAGATTTTATTAAATCTCTGCAGTTGATATATTTTAAGCCACTGTAACCTATACAAACCTCATTTAGGCTAACAGAATCTCTCGAAGTGAGTATTATTATGCCCATTATAAAAGTAAAGGAATTGAGAAAAAAAGAGAGGTTAAGTTGTTTAACTGGACAGGTGGTTAATGGTACGGTCAAGTAAGATTGTTGGGACCAAGAACTGGGCTTGTTTTTTTTATCCAGGAATCTTAGCAAATGCCAGGAATGTAACCACCCAGTTAATGTTGAATGCATGAAGAAGAAAATGAACGCATTCATAAATCACCGACTTTCATTTTCAGTGTTGAGTCAACCCATTTACCTCTTAACATCATACTTCTCAGGCAAAAGAGTTGTCCAGATATGGTTTAATTTGCTTACTTATTGTGTAATTCTCATTCATAAATCACACACACACACACACACACACACGCACACACGCACACACACACACGAGTTCCTTTGCTTGTGGGTCTGTTGGCTCCCATGGGATAGAGAAGAATTTCATCTAGGAGTATCTTGAAGCTCACTCAGAGCCTGAACCAGTTTTTTGTTGTTTCTTTAAAAATTTTAAGTTCTGGGGTGCATGTGCAGGATGCATAGGTTTGTTACATAAGTAAATGTGTGCCATGGTGGTTTGCTGCACCTATCAACCCATCACCTAGGTATTAAGCCCAGCATGCATTAGCTAATTTTCCTGATGTGTTCCCTCCCTCCCTCCCACACTCCCTTGCCCCGACAGGTCCCAGTATGTGTTGTTCCCCTCCCTGTGTCCATGTGTTCTCATTGTCCAGCTCCCGCTTATAAGTGAGAACATGCAGTGTTTGGTTTTCTGTTCCTGCATTAGTTGCTGAGGATAATGGCTTCCAGCTCTATCCGTGTCCCTGCAAAGGATATGATCTCATTCATTTTTATGGCTGCATAGTATTTCATAGTGTATTTGTACCACATTTTCTTTATCCAGTCTATCATTGATGGGCATTTGGGTTGATTCCATGTCTTTGCTATTGTGAATAGTGCTGCAATGAGCATACGCATGCATGTATCTTTGTAACAGAATGATTTATATTCCTTTGGGTATATACCCAGTAATCCTATTGGTCAATGGTCAAATGCTATTTCTGCTGAACCAGTTTTAATACTGTTAGCAGGATAAATTCTGCCAGACCGTTTCCCCTGTGGTGTTCACATCCTGCTGAAGTGAAGTTTCTTATAAAGTGACTAGGCCTGTGAGCACACAGTCACGGAAACTGTAGCAGAGGAACTGCCTAACGGACACTGGGGTGGGCAAGAGTGGCCAAAAAGGGAAATCAAGACAGGGTTTTAATTGAGGATTATTCTCATTTGAAATCTAGCTTTTCAAGAGGGAGCTAGTAAGAGGGAGCCCAGATCAAGCTACAGGACAAACGGATCTTCTCTCTTGTTTTGTAGAAAATAAATGAGCTTGACTGTGGGCTCAGAGCTTCAAAGTTGTGGTGTGTGAGGCACACATGAATTGAAGAGTAAGTGGCCATAAAGATTCTTCTGGTGGGTTTCAGTGCTTGCTGGGTGGGGGTGACCAAGACCCTACTTTCCTGGTCTGCAGTGATTTCTTTTGCAAACTATGGTGACAAACTAACTGCAGGGTTGCAATTCAAAGGCCTACAGACAGGAAGTGTAAATGAGTGAAGCATAAGACAAAAGGGAGTAGTGATGACTTGTGGCCAAGTGGAGGGTAAACATCCCGTCTAAAAGAGGCTCCACCACTCAATTCTAGTCTATTATTGCCATGCTAGAATGTGGGCAGTATGTTGTCAGATCTTCCAGACTTTTTAAAACCCTGAAATTTGAGTTTGAAATGTTGATAATTCAAAGCTTTAAAGACATGGTGCAGGCCAGATTTGATCCCAGGATGGCCACGGATGATCTATAAAGTCTGGCAGAATTAACAATCCCATTGTTAATATGTAGATATGTTAATATGTTAACAAGTAGATATGCTAATTGTGAAATTTTTAAAATATACATGTTATAGTGCTTTACAGTTTGCAAGTCACTTTCATGATTTTATCAGAGTCTCATGAAAACCCTGTGAGGTGCTGTTATCCCTATTTTGCAAAGGAGAAACCTTAAGTTCAGGAATGTTAAGTGACTTGTTCACAAGTCACAGAGCAAGAAAATGCAGAACCTAGGTTCATCCTCTAGTCTTGGACACCCCAGCATTCCTGCCAACAATATTGTCCTGTCTGCAAACACAGACCTTTTTCATCCTATTTAGCAGCTCTGGAGGTCAAATAAGGAAACATCACTCCTCCAACCAATGGTCTGTGAAAGTCTGTTCTTACAACAAGAAAGGGTTTTGAGAGGATCCTCATAAGGAAGGAATACTGAATCTCCATTCTTGTACCATTCAATTTCAAACTGATGAACATTTAATATGTGTTTATTCTTTTGCTATCTCAAAATGTTTCAATGTAATTTATCATAATAAAATAAATTTATACTATTGCTTTATTATAGGTTTTGAACATTTGCTTTTAATGAAGTTGAACATCTTTTTCAAAATCTTATAAGCCATTTGTATATTCTAAGAAGAAGCCTGCTTGTGATCTTTATCCATTTTTCTATTGGATGGTTAATCTGCTTTTTCTTGTTGAATTATAAGAGCTTTTTATATATTAAGGAAACCAGATCACTTGTAGGTCATATGTGTTACAATTTATTTTTCCAGCTTGTCATTTGTTAAATCTTCCATGTTTTTTAAAGACCTATTTTTCAATGTTTTAAAAATCAAGATGGCTCTTCAAGATCATCTGATTATGTGGCTGATGCTGCTGAAAGTTGAGTTTGTACAACTTCACTAAAGAGCTTCTGCTTATCATCACAAGGGGATGGTGTAATGCTTCTCAACAGGACCTGGTTTATACCACTGTGAGTCATTTAAATTACTGGAAAAACTGACTGACCACTGGAAATTATTGGCTTATTTCCTATAACCCTCAAAGGAATTGGGGGCATCGTAGAGGGAATGTTTCTCGTTCTCTCTGTATTCAGACATTGTCCTGACCGACTTCAAGGCTTTGAGAGAAAAACGAAAGACAATTCCAAAGCAAAAAAGTTTCCTAAGTTATTTTAAGTTCATGAAAAATAAAGTTAAACAGCTGCAAGTTGTGATCCTACTTATTCATTACAAGAATTCCTCCTCCTAAATGTAAGCCCATTTTTTCTGATATAGGTAATGTAAGCCCATTTTGTCTGATATGTGCAAATTTATCAGAGAGCTCATACCTTCAGCCATCATTATTTGGTTCACAAGCTACTCAGTAATGTGCTTTGGGCATCCTAGCCAAAGAAGAGAGGACTGCCGTTAATCAGACAGACAAATACATTGACAAGAGAACTTTGGCCTAAATCAGTGGAGACAAAATTCACATACAGTCACTGAAGTAAAAAAGGTGCCATGTTTTTGTTCTGATCCAGGTTGCATAAGACAAGACACAAAAACAAGCCTTTCACTATAGATACTGTTCATTCAAAAATCACTTCACATCAAGTTGTGAGATTCTGAGATAGCATCAGATATATAGCTACAACGGGAAGGCCACATTTCTTCCACGGTGACTATAACTACCAAGCCAGAGAGTCCTGGCAATGTAAAGACCAGGTTTAATTAAGGGAGAAAGGTGGCAGTGCATACACTGGTCCACCTGGGGCATTTGCTTCTAGTTTTCTTACCACTCCTAGTTGTCAGTATTTGTATACGGTAAGAAATAGAATGTACTGAGGTTGTACAGTTTTTGGCTTTTCTAGCTTAACCAGAGGTCAAAACATGGCACCACTAACTGAGGTACAGTGACCAACTGTCTGTTTCCCCAGGACTGTCCTCATTTTAGCATGGAAAATGCAGTGTCCTGGGAAACTCCTTGGTTCCAGGCAAATCAGAACATTTGGTCATTTTAGATCTTGGTCTTATCCAGATTTTTTCTCTAGTCCTGTTATTCTACAGAGGAATAAAATAAGACAAAATGATCTTACATTTAGGAGGAGGAATTCTTTTAATGAATAAGTCGGATCACAACTTTTGGAGTAAGAAATGCTAGAACAAGATGTGAAAGACCATAGTCTCAGAAAGAGAAAATACAATTTTTGAGGTCATTCTAGTTCTATGATTCCTTGATTCTGCAACGCTACCTCTATCATCTTGAGATAGTTGAGCTGTAAGTAAAACAATCTTTATTGCCATTTATCAAATAATAACTATGAACCAGGCACTGTGCTAACTCTAATTTTATTCTCATGACAGCCTTAGGAAAGAGATATTATTAGATATAATTTATAAGTGAGGAAACAGGCCCAGTTATTCAGGTAACAAATGGTGAACACAGGATTTGAATTCAAGTCTGTGTAGTTTAAAGGCTTGTGCTCACACTCATTCTGCCCTTGTCTTCCATCACCCATGAACAGTTATGAAGCATTACTCTTGCTGTTTCCCTGTTAGGAGATTGTCCCTACTGCCTATGCTGTAAGTGATCCCTGGAGAGCAGAGAAATGGTAATGCTAACAGCATACACTTACATAACATATTTTACATTGCAAATAATTTTACAGGTGGTCCCTGACTTACGATACTTCAACTTATGATTTTTTGACTTTTCAATGAGTTTATTGGTGTATTAAATACATTTTCAACAGGACATTTTTGATTTATGATGATGGGTTTATTGGGATGCAATCCCCTCACATGTCAAGAAGCATCTGCACTTCTATTTTCTACTATTATCATCCAAAAGGAACTGGGAAGTAGCTGATATTGGTTTTATCTCTATTTGTTAGAGTTAGGAAAGAGTGGTGTGTATGAGCATGGCCAGCTGTTGATGAGTGTACAGGGGATTAACGGTAAAATTGGACTCTTCTCTATGGTTCATGATCCTAACTCCTGAATAGCATGTCTAGTTAGTAAAGATTGAGCAATACTGTGATTTTTTCCTAGTTGTCATCAAAGACCCCCAAAGGGATTTTGTTCAACTTTGTTACCTCCACTTTTGTGTCTTCCTCACTAGGCTATGAGCTCCAGAGAAGGCAGGTTCAAGTATCTGTCTATTGTTTCTTGATGTCCAGAGCCTGGCACTTAGATTCTCAATACACATTGGATAAATAAATGAGTACTCTCCACATACCCTTCTCTTAATTTGATAGTGGTTATCACTACCAATTCCCATGCCACTGTACCTTCTTTCAAACTGTTCTTTTAAACTCGCCTCATTCTCACATCCTCAAATATCACCTTTACCAGGCAGCTCTCCAAGCCCTTCCAGTTGCTAGTGTTCTCTTGAATATGCAGAAGTCCCATCTCCCTGCCAGTTCCCCTTCTTTTGTTGCACTTACCCCATCTCTCTTTTATTGTAGTGATTTCTAACTTACATAAGCCAAAAGGGAATAGTGGAGACTGTGGCTAACTAAAAGATAACTCTTCCATCTAAAAGTAGCATTGCTACTCAATTTTAGCCCATTATTGTTATTAATAATGTGCGTCCAATGCTGTAAGATTTTTCAGATTTTTATTTAATGGAATCTAAATTTGAGTTTTAAGTGTTGAGACTCTTTCAAAGTTTTAAAAACACACAATGCAAGCCAGGTTTAACCCCAGGATGGCCAGAATTCCAGTTTCAACCATTCAGTGAATGTAGTAGATATGTTGATTATCTGTGAAATTATATTTTAGTTAACATTTAATAGTACTTTATAGATTGCACATCACTTTCATGATTTTATATGAGTTTTGTGAAAACCTTCAAGTACCGTTATCCCTGTTTTACGGAAGATAAAACTAAAGCTCAGGAATATTAAGCTACTTATCTGAGGTCACGCAGCAAGAAAGTGGCAAAATATGGACATATTCTTCAGTCTTGACACTCCCACCTCTTCTGCCAACCATATTGTCTTATTCTTCTCTTCCTGAACATGTTAAGGGCAGACACCTATCTGACCCTTTACTGTCTTTCTTCTTACAGTAGTGTTTTATATAGGTGTTCAATGTGTGTTTGTTTGCTTGAAATAAAGAAAACATATAGACACACTTAGAAGTAGGAAAACAGCCAGCACAGATTATGTTTCTCTTTTTATACCAATGAAACAGTTGTGCTATAATTTTTTTATGAGTATTTTCTATGGTGTAGGAATCCACAATCAGAATTCAACCATTTCATTTCTTGGTGCAGCTCTTACAAATTCTCATAACTTCCATGCACATTGTACATACTCAAAAGTGTTTCAGTAAATATGTATCGATTAGCTAGCTCTTCCTAGACTTCCTTATGAAGTATTTGAATGTGTTGTGTGTGTGTGTGTGTGTGTGTGTGCGCGCATGTGTGTGTGAGAGAGAGACAGATAACTAGGTGAATGTTATGGAATTAGGTAACCAAAAGAGATAAGTAAGTGGTCTCTATTTTCCAGGAGTTTATAGTTAATGGGAGTTTCTAATATGTAGACAGGGGGAAAATAGTGCCATTTTAAAGAAAAGAAAGACTGGGAGAGGAATAGATCAAAATTTGTCATTAGAAATTCATTTGATTTCAATTCAGCCCAAATATCATAGTCTCTGTCTTCAAATGATTTTCAGTCTAGGCAGAAGACAGATTTATACATGTCCACACACACACACACACACACACACGCACGCGCGCGCGCGCGCGCACAGGCACACTCTTACTCACACTCACTGTTACACTCAGCCAGAACTATTTTTACTTATTTTTAACCCTAAGGTGATTTAGGGCCATTTCATTACCTTTTGTTTTCTATAAATTTTTAGACACAATTAAATATTTCTCAAAAAGAAAGTTCATTTTTGAAGCCCAAATAGTTTCTCTTCTTTCTAGGCAACCATTCTGTGATGTAATTTATATTTTTTGTTGCTTAGCTACTTGAAAAAAAAAGGGCAACTTGCCCCGTTTTCATGGAAGAAAGACTCCTTGGTGCTTTCATTTGCATGATGCCAGGAGCTGTTACAGTCTGAATCTGAATCAAAATCACTCTGCCCCTAGGAGATGCTCCGTATCCTAATGAGTGCCTTCCTGTTCCCCAGACACACTTTCTTACCTTTTCTCTGTGGGCCAGGAGAGCTTCACTTTTTATATTTTCTAGACCCTCCAAACCAGCCCCAGGTGAACTGGGCCTCTCTCCCTGTTGCATGAACCAGTGAGTAAACCCTTGGATCATGAGTTCACTGTGGCTTGGATTCCAGGACCTCCACCAAGCCCAGGGACTCTGGGAAGAAACCAGAGACTCTGCATCTTAGGACTTCAGTCAACACCTCAGAAAGAGCCCAAGAACAGCCTCTGCAGGCACTGTTAGTTATAAGGAGTGAGATGTCGATTGGTTGGTTCACATGTAACTCCTACATTTGGACTAAGATGAAGACAGTTTGAGATTCATCAAAAGGGCTTGTTCTTTCTTTATGAGATAGGATGGCTGTACCCTACCTATATCTCCCTGTGGGGTCAGCTTCATGGGGTCTCCTCTTAATGAGATCTTAAGGGGACTTTTGTAATGATTTTATCCCACTGAAGAGTTGAAGGAAAAATACTAAAAACTGTGGATCTAAGACAATATCAGGCCTTGGAGATTTGCCTCTACTACTGTTATTTTGATATTTAAATACAAATCTGAAAAACCATTTTCTTCTATTCAAAAATACAGATAATCAGGAGAATCACTGAACGACCTGAGGTTGTGTCATTCAGGCCAGGTGTCTGCTTTCAATACATATTGTTTGACCTCAGATTTTTGTTTTAAAATTTCCATTATGAACACTAGGTGATATTCAAGATAAGGCTCATTGAACCAGGTTAAGATAATAGCATTGGCATGACACTTACTAGAGAAGCCTCAAAAATTTAGTAATTTATATACTTAGGCAGAATAAAAATAATTTGCTACTTTAATGCACTTTGTAATGGCAATGGTTTGGTGTGGTGAGTTTTCTTATAACAAGGAATAGCTATGTCATTTTGATAAAATATGTGGTAGATTTAGTTTTCATGCCAAAAGCAAAAACACAGAACAACCCCCACTTCCCCACAAAACCCTAATGATGATGCTCATAGAATATAAATGATTCTTCTCCAAATGTCTGCTTTTTCATTTGTTGGTGAGGGGTACAAATGACCCCTCACTTCTCTCCTTCTTGTCCTCACCCCAATTTCACCATTATTGTAGAGGCAGAGGCAGAGAGGTGAGATGGAAAGAGTTCAGACAGACTTGCCCTGCCCCTTGTTAGTGGTGCGACATTAGGCAATTTATCTGAGAATAATAATACTTCCATCACAGGTGAGAATTGTGAGAAGGTAAAATTCCTTACCTCATGCCCAGTGTAGGGTGGACCCCATTATCCAATTTCAGGTTGCCTCCACTTTCCCAGGAGGCCACCTGCATCATCTCTTCTGCTTTTTTCCCACAAAGATCCTTCATGTTGTCTCAGGATGTACCTCTGAATGGCCTCTCTTGGCTGACAGTGACCATAATGACCATAGAGGTGGGAGGGAGGGAAATCCTCCCTTCCAGAAATTCTTAAGTGGGCTGTCTGGATGAACTTTTACTTGGAGAGTATCTCTGCTTCTTGCTATTCTAGACATAAAGCAGAATGTGGAAGGTGAAGAGTCCAGAAATCAGTAGACAGCCCCATGAAAGGAGGTGTGAGATACTGAGTGAGAACATAGGCTCTGATCTGTTGCTGTGGTTTGCGATCCAGCTCTGTTACTTAATATCTGTGATGTCTTGGGCAAGACCTTTCTCTTAGGGGTCTCAGTTTGCCTGTCTGTAAAACAGGAACAGTAATATGCTTATCTCATAAGATAATTGTGAGGATTAAATTAATTGATTTGTGTGAAGCACTTATACCATTGCCTGGGACAGAGTGATGCCCTGATGTCACTCTTATTACTGTTACCTGAAAGCGGTCCCCATCCAGACCCCAAGAGAGGGTTCTTGCATCTCGCGCAAGAAAGAATTCAGGGTGAGTCCACAGTACAAAGCGAAAGCAAGTTTATTAAGATGGTAAAGGAATAGAGAATGGCTACTCCATAGGCAGAGTAGCAGCCTGGGCTGCTGGTTGCCTATTTTTATGGTTATTTCTTGATTACTTGCTAAACAAGAAGTTGATTATTTATGAGTTTCCCAGGAAGGGCGTGTACAGTTCCCAGAGCTGAGGGTTCCTCCCCTTTTTAGACCATCTAGGGTAACTTCCAGACTTTGCCATGGCATTTGTAAACTGTCATGGTGCTGGTGGAAATGTAGCAGTGGGGATGAACATAAGTCACTCTCATCACCATCTTGGTTTTACTGGGTTTTGGCTGGCTTCTTTATTGCAACCTGTTTTATCAGCAAGGTCTTTATGACCTATATCTTGTGCCGACCTCCTATCTCATCCTGTGATTTAGAATGCCTAATTGTCTGGGAATGCAGCCCAGTAGGTCTCAGCCTTATTATACCCAGCCCCTATTCAAGATGGAGGCACTCTGATTCAAACACCTCTGACATTACTCATGCTGTTGTTATTGTTGTTATCTTTGTTGCTACAATGGTTTAGCAACCGAAGTTGACCAGTCCTTCAACAAGTATCTGTTAAGTGCCTACTACTTGACTTGAGTTCTGCTAGAGTTTATGGATGCAGGATGAATAAAACATAGTGTTAGGATGGAGGTCAACTTTGTTGTCTGGCATTGGACATGCCTGGTGAATGTCTAGTAAGTGTTTAATAGATACATTAAAACAAAAACAGGTGTACAATAAAGAGTCAGGCACTTAGAAAGAGTCAGCACACTTAGAAAGTGTGAAGCCTTAGAAAGCCCAAGCAAGGCCATTCAAAAGCTTTTGTTCTGGTTTCCTTGACTTTGGTCTCTTAGCCAATGAAATTCTTCCATACATGACTCTAAGATCCATCTTTGTGAGATGCTGCTCAGATTAGCTCAGGCCTCCCCATATTTCCAGTGGCTGTTACCTAATGAAAACAGCTCAAATAGCTTTATGTGACACTCAAGGCCCCTTGCCATCTGGCTTCAATTTGTCTGGCTTGCCTTGCTTCCCTCAGGGCTCTAACCAAACAATTCTAGTTGCAGTTCTTGCCTTTCCCTGCCCTTGACCTTTGCCTGTACATTTTTATCTCTTAGAAAGGCTTCCTTTTCCTGTGTGCACACATTTTTAAAGATATAGCCCAATATCATCCCTTTGTGAAGTCTCCCTTGATTTATTATTGTCTAAGTGCTTATTGTTACTTGTTCCATGAAGATGGTACTCAATACCTGCCATCTTGTATTATGTTATGTATGTGAACCTTCATCCCTCCCCTGAGATTGTAAGATGCCTTTGGCAAGAGGCATCAGAAAGGTAGATTGTCAGAGGTTGGCTGGAAAGAGTAACCACCAGAGAAAAGAATAAATGACTGTCCCACGTGAAGGGAGAAGTGAGACCGCAATGTTAATTGGAAGGAAAGAAGAAAGCAATGAGAAGAGGCTCACTAAGCTTATTAAATGTTCTTCTTCTCATAACCTTCACAGTTCATTCTAAGGAGCCATGAGCCTAAAACAGCCAAGCAGCACCCTTTGTATGGTGGGCAGACTTGTAGTAGATGGTAGAAGAGGAGATTTCAGCATGAGAACCTGTGAGATGTGCCAGCCATGGCAGAGAGTAGAAGTGGGAGGGGCTTCCTACCCAGCCCTGCAATTAGGCATGCATGTAACTGTAGGAAGGCTGGCTCTAGAGAAGGATGAGATAGAAGTTGTATTGTGCCTGGGAGATTCTAGTATATGCCTGTTTTGAGCTCCCTTGATCACTGAGTCTGTCACTACCAGGCAATTTGCCTCTACAGGGAAGGTTCTCACCTGGTTAACATCCATCAGATCAGACCCAAATATTCCTTCTTCAGGAAACTTCCATGAGACACTCAGATTAATCCAGATCTCAATAGACTTTATAACCTTCATTCATACCAATCACCATTATTGCAATCTTATTTTTATTGGTATAATTATTTGATTGATATCTAGCTTCATGAGACTGTAGCTCCATGAGGACAAGGAATTGTTTTAGTTTTGACCTCACTTATCACCTAGTTCAGTGCTTAACATCATCTAGCTCAGTGTTCAATAAATAATTGTTGAATGAAATGTCTTTGCCATCTAATGGCCACATATGACTATTTCAATTAATATTAATTAAAATTAATTAAAATTTAGTTTCTCAGTCACACAAGCCACATGTCATGTACTGGACAGCCACAGGTGGCTACCTCTAGATAGTACAATGCAGTTCTAGAATGTTTCCTTAGTCACAGAAAGCTCTGTTGGACAATGCTGCTTAAGCTGTTGGCATCTTGTTCATGTCCAATACGGTCAATGGTTAGATTTTTCTCTTTAAAAAAATCTCAGCTGGGCATGGTGGCTCATGCCTATAATCCCAGCACTTTGGGAGGCCGAGGCACATGGATCATCTGAGGTCAGGAGTTCGAGACAAGCCTGGCCAACATGGCAAAACCCTGTCTCTACTAAAAATACCAAAAAAATTAGCTGGGCATTGTGGCGGTTGCCTGTCATCCCAGCTACTTGGGAGGCTGAGGCAGGAGAATTGCTTGAATCCAGGAGGTGGAGTTTGCAGTGAGCCCAGATTGTGCCATTGCACTCCAGCCTGGGTGACAAGAGTGAAACTCCATTAAAAAAAAAAAAAACTCAAGTCAGACAGTTCTGACTTGGCCTGAGGACTCCTGGGAAGTCTGTTCTGTAAATGGAAGAAATCTGAAAATGAACCAGCAGAAGATTCTAGATAAATTTTTCACTCACTCATTTTCATTTAAGAGATAGTTAAGGAATGTTTACTATATATGGCCCTGGCCACCCATAAGGAGCAGTCTTCCTGAATTTTTCAATTTTCTCTTTAGAGAGGTAATATCACTTGATGATGAAGAATGTAGACTTTGAGAGCTTGTTTAGAGGTTCTAGCAGTGGAGCACAGCTACTCGTATACCCTTCACTGAAGACTGGCCCTCCTCTATTGGGGATGGTCATCCTCTTCAACCAAGCATGCAGCTTTGGGAAGGACACACATGGAGCGGTGAGGGAGGAAGGGGACATCTGCCCAGACAGCCAGATCAGCTGAATCAACCCTGGTGATCAGTGGGTGGCAGATGTCACAGCCAGATCACCCTCACATTCAAGAATGTAGACTTTGAAATCAGGCAAACTGGTGTTCAAATGTTGACTATGCTGTTCACTAGTGTGTGTGAGGTTCTGGGCAAGTTATGGAACTTCTCTGAGCTTTAATTTCTTCCTATAACAAACAGGAATAAAAAGATAATTGTGAGAAATAAATGAGATAAATATGAGATATTTTGATTCATAGTAACTTTATTATGATTCTTTACTATTGTTTGGAATTGGTGTTAGCCTTCTACTTTGTTGTGTCTTTTCTCTTCAAATTCTCATCAACTGTACTGACTTTTTCATTTCCAAAATAAAGCAGGCTCCCTGGCTCCTGCGTTGCCATTAAGTTTCACTGGATAACATCAAGATGGACTTTCTCAAGGCTATGAGGGTATTTTTGGCCACCTGTTCCCTTGCCTCAATGTTCTCATCTGCAAAATGAAAGCAGAGCTACTGTGAACTTCCAGAAAGGTGTGGAAGGTTTGCTTAGCTTTTAACTGTAAGTGCTGGCCATTTAATTGTGTGCCCACTTCAGGATGCAGGGAAAACCCACGAGGACCCAGGAAGTCACTCTTCACTAGGTCCTTGAGGCCTTCTGGGTAATATGTTGGGCTGAGAGCTGCATTTAGACTGTCAGTCATACACTGAGATGGAAATTCTCATTGAACCTTTGAGTTTTTATGAAGCACCATGTGGGAGGCCCTCTGCTAGAAATCGACTTTCGGAAGTGAAGAAGACATGGGCCCTATCTTTAAGGAGGTCACAGTTTAATAAGGGGGGAGGGTGATGAGAGAATTCTTCCTGGAGGATGTTCCACTAGCTAACTTATGGGTAAAAGGAAAGAAATAGGCAGAGAAGAGAAGGAGTGCTGTTTAAGAAGCAAGGGCTCCATACATCTATGCAGGGAAGTGAGAGAGAGAAAGGAGGCTGGGGAGGCGGGTAGAGAGACTGGGGAAGAGTTGGAGGGTAGAAGTAGGCAGATGGCAGTAGAAAACAGGGCTATATAGGTAGGAAAGGGTTAAGGTATGGAAAACTTTTAAGCCAAACAAAGGAGCTTGGACTGAGGGCCACGGAGAGCCTCTGAAAGATTTTAGTAGTGAGTGACACAGTCAAATAAGCATTTCAGAAAGATCACTCTTACTTGCATAGAATCTATTGAAATTGGACAAGAATAGAGGTGGGGAGAAATGATGGGAGGCTGATGCAGTGATCCCAGTAAGAAATGAGGTTGGCTTGAGCGACAGCGACAACAGGAAAAGGCACAGAATTCAGGGATGTTAACAGGCAGAGCGGGCAAGTTTTATTAATCAATTTGTATAAGATTGGTGAGGGAGCTGGGTCAATAGTTATACCTAGTATTCTGGCTTAGGCAAAATGTGCTGATAGCTTTCCATCAATTAGAAATTCAGAAGAAGGAGGAGGAAAGAGAATGAGTTAAGCTTTACATTTAAGTGTGAGGAATGCAGAGTTTGGGACTATGTAGGGTGAGCAGAAGTGTTCATGAGGCAGCCAGGTGGAAATGTGCATGCAGCAGACAGTAGTACTCACTTGTGGATGACAAGAGGGAGCAGGCTGCCATCAGCATCAGGTGGTGGCTAAAACCACATGCATATTGGAATGAATTCATTTGTTAAAATGAAGTTTAAACCAATTGAATGACTAAATAAAGGAAAGAAGGAAGTCACCCAGGGAGCAAGCAGAGGGAAGAGAGAACAGGGCTTAAGGTGGGAATTGTTTTCTGTCTTAGCAACCATAAACATCACCTTGTCAAGACTATTCAGTTTGGTTGTATCAGACTGAAGATGGAAAAACACTTGGTAAGCTACAGACATTATGCAATTCAACTCTCTAAAGACTGGCAGATTTTTAAAAATGCTATGTTTTGCTATCTTTGCAGCCAAGTTGAGTTGTAGCATGTTGAGTCTCAGCGATTGTATAATCTGATGGTCAAACAACCAAAACTGGTAAAACAAAACAAAACAGAACAGGCGGGTTTCCTGACTCAGTCATGACATGGATACAAACATGGCCATGAAAACTGAAAGCAACTGCCTCAGAAGTGCTGACCTACTCCACGGCTGGGCCTATTCTGCTCAGATTTGGAGACCCTTAATCCTAAAATATTTGCTGTCTTTCGAATAGCTCTTGGCAAGATGCTCAGAAGCAGTGCAAAATTTCAGTGTAAAATGTGATCTATTTCTCAGTTTCGTATTTGAGAAGCGACACTTGCATATAGGCTGCTACATGTCTCCGCTCACCCTACATAGTCCTAATCTTTATCTCCCTTCCACTTCCCAAATGCCAGGCTGGTGTCAGAATGGATAGAGGATTAGCAGGAAAATTCTCTCTCGTCAGCCCTGTTCCAACAACACCACAGAACTATTGCATATTCTACCTTTGCTGCAGGCTGAGTGGCTACTCTTCCTTTGAATAGGACTTAAGTGCATGGCGGGAGTCATGCAGTGGGAGTTATGCAGTGGGAACCATCACTGTGTCTCAGAGAGAAGAATTCGGCCTTAAATGATGGGGCCAGAAGTCACACTTGGAGTTTCCAATTGTTCTGTTTTTCAGCCCCCCAAAAGCCTGCAGCTTTTATAAGGAGCTCTCTCCAAAAGCAAACTATACTAGTATTTTTTTTTTTTTTTTTTTTTTTTACTTTAAACAAGAATGTTCTTTGGTTACTCAAAAACACATGAAAAGCAAGAGGGGAAAAATGGATTGGTGCTTCAGTGGGTTTTCCATGCTTGTTTTCTGACACCGTGAATTTAATGCATGTCCAGGTGTCTGCACAAATCAGAGTAGCTAGTATAGTCTGAGCTCTGGGTTTTGTTTTGTTTTGTGCAGTTTTAAGGAAATCCAAAAAAGGAACTCAGCTGTGTTATCTCCTATAAATTCAGGCACTGCTGAGAAGAGTTTTACTTATATGAGGGTCTGGGGATCCTCTTTGGAGGGATCAGTAACTCAGTAATTAAGAAATCAGTAACTCAACAAACCAGCTGATGGGTGTGTCTCATTTTTGTCCCAACCATGGAGAATAAAAATCACATCTTAGTGTCACAGGAAGTGGGAAGGAACTCTTCTTAAAAGAAGAAAGTTAGGGCCGGGTGTAGTGGCTCACACCTGTAATCCCAGCACTTTGGGAGGCTGAAGTGGGTGGATCATCTGAGGTCAGGAGTTCGAGACCAGCCTGGCCAACGTGGTGAAACCCCGCCTCTACTAAAAATACAGAAATTAGCCAGGCGTGGTGGTGGGTGCCTGTAATTCCAGCTACTTGGGAGGCTGAGGCAGGAGAATCACTTGAACCCTGGAGGCTGAGGTTGCAGTGAGCCGAGATTGTGTCATTGCACTCCATCTCAAAAAAAATAAAAAAGAAAAAAAAAAGTAGAAGGTCAAGGTGCACATCTTGGTCCAAAAGTAACAACAATGAAGAAAAACTATTGTGTCTTTTTATATGATAGGTCCTGTCCTGGTGTTTTATAAGCTATGATGCAGTTATTATTACTCTCCCTATTTTACAGAAGAGGAAGATGAGGCACAGGGAGATTATTTCCCTTGCTCAGGTTCACTCAATCAGTGGAAAATGAGCTTGAACCCAGGTCCATCTGACCCCACGTCTGGGCTCCTATCCACTAAGTATACTAGAAAAGAGAAGAGTTATGTGGAATAGAGCATGATTCCATACATTTTAAATGTCTTGAACTCCCAGATTAGTAAAAGCGTTCTAGGATGCCACTTCCAGGGTAGTCTGAATGAACTGAAGACAAGATTGTATAAATAGATTCTACTCAATTAGGGCTGGCAAGAGAACTAATCACAAGTCTGCTCTGTGATCTAAGTCTTGAGTGCAATACACATAAGGAGAAATATTCTGTTCCCCAAACACACATCTCTGTCCTTGCTCTAGTGTGGTGATTATGAAGGAGAACAGGGCAGTGGCTAGAACTCTGTCAACACTGGCGATATCAAATGGCATAGCAGGAGCTGCAGGAACAAAAAGCCCAGGCCCCACATTCAGTGTGACTCTGGAGAGTCACCACGAGGGAGCCAGGAGTTGAGTCATGATTGTTCCTGAGTCAGTGCAGGAATCCTGAAATAAATAGGAGCTAATGACTTCAGTGGAGCGGGAGCACCTGCGTTTTTGCTCAAAGAGATTTCCCCATTGCTTGCCATGGACTGTCCAGATTGCCTTTGATATTCCTTGAACATACCAGTCTGTTTCCACCTAATGACCTTGTTGCAACTCTTCCCAGAACTTCACCTGAAAGGATCCTTTGTGGCCTCCAGGTCATAGTTTTGATGTCTTTCCTTTAGAGAGGCACTGTCTAATCAAATCAACAGCCTTTTCCCAATGCTCATGTCCCAGTCACTCTTGGTCACATAACCCTGATTTATATTTCCACAGCACTTAAATTATCTTGTTCCATTTATTTGTTTCCATATGTTTAGTATCTCTCCCCTTCCATTGGCATGTAGGCTCCATTGTTTCAGACACCTCATTTGTTTTGCTCAGCGCCATATACCCCAGTGCTCGTAATAGTCCCTCCTTTAATAAATGCTCAATAAACACCTCTTGAATGAATGGATGGATAAATGAATCAATGAATGAAATAGAACTGTGTTGTTATTATTATTATGATCATATTGTGCTACCAAGCCCTCAATGACTGGGGGAAACGTGTGGTCCTAGATGTCTAAGATCCAGACAATCCACTCAGTAACTGATTGAGAGGAGAAAAATAATAATCAGGGAGAGAGCACACCTTCGGTAGGCTGAGGCCATTGCACATGCTAAATCATGTAACTACTGCAGATGAGGAAATGTAGGCATAGCTACATAGCTGAGAAGTATAGAGAGCAGAGATGTGCACTGGAATCTCTGGCTCCAACTCTTTTTCTTTGCAAATGGAAGGCTGGGGATGAGGGCCAAGTATAGTTTTAAGTATTTCAATATTTTCCCTATTGTACAAATTGTTCATAGAAAAGTTTGGTAACTTGTGTAAAGTTACTTAGCTAAGAAGTAACAGGGGAACTTCAAGATCTATGTCCCTAATGACTAGGATATAGAATCATCTTCCAGAAAAGATGACAAGGAAAGTTTTCAGAAGAGGCAGCAGAGAATCTGGGACTATCAGGATGGGGATTCTGGGAAGGACACTCCAACATTCCAAGCTAAGGGTACTGCCTGAGCTAAAGCCTGCTGTGTTCTTTTCCTGCTGCCTGACATTCTTACTGATCTGCCTGAAATCCATATATTCTTGGAAACGTTGCTGCCTCTGATTTCTGTATAAATGACACAGCCCAGACTGGAGTAAACAGGATTCATGAAGGCCATTGGTTCTCCTTGAGCCATTTTATCTGTGCTGTCTGTGAACCAGACTCATAGAGTCCTGAGTGCATGGCCAGGTGTGGTCCAGCCTGGAGGTTCTGCCCTGTGAAGTGTGCAGGTATGTCTTCTGAGTGGGAAGTGGTTATAAGCACCCATTTTCATTTCATCTGTAACAATTAAATAGCCTCACAGCAGCCCCTGAGTTGCTGATGGGCTCACACCCCATTGCCATGTAATCACATCTAATCTCATTGAGCTCTGCTCAAAATAGCCATAATTGGTGGTTTTATCCAAATCAATAAAGACAGCTTCTACATATTGATTATCATCCAGGGTATAAAATCATCATCAGTTACCTGGAAAAGAGAAACAGCCTGCCAAGGGAAAAGGTCAGATATTCCATCTGAACAGAGGAGGGAAGGGGGAGGCGGAACCAGTGAGTTTTAAGGTAATAGTATCAAATTACCTGAAAATGCACACAGTATATTCTTGTAATTTGCAACAACAGAGAGCCCAGAAATAGGTCAATCATTTAAGTGAGTCTTCAAGTTTTCTCTTAGCGATGTGCTGAGCTAGCTTGCATGAGCAGTCTTAAAGGGGCTGGAGCCAAGCTACAGAGAGCGAGAGAGCCATGGGGCTCACAACAGTGGTACAATTTCAGTCAAAGAGATGGCTCAAGCCTATTTCTTTGATCCAATTAATGATCAACAGAGATTCTCAGCCACTGTCATGAGTGATTATGGGAAAAGACAAAGGAGGGGGGTGAATAGACCTTTCCATTTGAGCACCCAGGACATGGAGAGTGGGAGGAACTCACCTCCAAAATGATTGTGAGGCATTTTCCACAATAGCAATGGAATACGGAGCCTGCCCAGTTCTAAAGTTTATACTTCTAATTGCAGAATTAAAAATGAACACACTGTTTACTTATTACAAGATAGAACTCATTGTCCCAGTCTTCTTTCTAGCAAATATTGAAACAAAAATTGCATAAAATCATCCAATATCATTAATGGAAGACACAATGACAAGAAGAAAATCCACTCACAATACTGCCACTTCAACATATTAAAACTGGTCTTGGGCAATTCCTGAGTCCAGTTTCCTCTTCCGTTAAATGGAAATAGCAGGGATGACCACAAGATTATTAGAATTTGACTTTTAAAAATTCATTTATGAATGTCCTCTTAAAGTCCTTGCCTAAATGACTAAATCATTTTCATATAGCTGTGATTATTATAGAAATATAAGTGGCTATCACCTTTATCCTTTCCCTTTTAGTTCTTTCTTCATAAATACGCCATTTTAAGAGCTGCATACAATTCTATTAAGTGAATATTTACTTAATTAATCTCCTGTTGTGAGATATCATCTTTCTACGATAGATAATATTTCAAAGAATGTCTATGGCACAAAATTTACTATTTCTTTTGGATTATTTTCTCAATATAATGTGGAGAAGTGGGGTTTTTATGTCAAGGGTATTGTGATACCACAACCAAGGAATTAGAAAGGCTTAACCTGCCAGAAAAAATCCTATGAATGATTTTACTAGAGGGAAAATAGTCAAACCCAAAGGTAGTTTGTAATGCAAGAGTATTAGGTAGAAAAATCAGTACAATTTCCATTTTACAGATGAAGAAAATTGAGAATTTGGAGAGACTGTTTAAGAATAGACAAATATTAATACAATAGTCAAGAAGTAGACACAGCCTTCGCTTACCACAGGTGTTTGTTGAGGAGAAGAGGGCTCATCAACTCTATTCTTGTTGTGTTCTGGGCTGGATGGCTGCACTGGGACAGTGGAAAGAAAACAAGATGTTGAGGGGAGGGAACGTGGTTATGTAGCTTGACAGAATAGTATCTGCAAATGGCTGACTCTACTAGTAAAGATCAATTGTGACATGCCCGTTATTGATAGCTAGGTTTTCATCCCTCAAAGTGGAGGATTCCAGCCCTCCCATTTTGTGTGATGATTGAATAGGGTTCCTGCCAGGTAAAGATTTTTTTACTTCCGTGTACTTCTATGTTTTCTTTCATGGAGGTGAAAAGAGAGGTTAGATAATCTTTACCTGTTTTATCTAACTTAATTATTGCAATTATAACTTTGAATGAGTTCCTTGGGGAGATTTGGTTTATGAATAATGACTATATTTTTAATACATTGCATTACTCCAAATAAAAAAAAATCAGCAAAATAAATGAACAAAATAAAATGAGATCACCAGAGGCTTTTTTTTTTTTTTTTGGTTGTCACTCTTCAAAGTCATGGATTTGATTGTATTTGTTTTCATAAACTAATGTATTCCTAGATGACAATATTCAATATGAACCTAGAAAGTCTGTAGTCTTCCAAATATGTGGGTTACCAACAAATAGGACAAAGCCAAAGCTGGTGGATTACTGCTACTAAGCCTAGAGTTTTATCATTAATCCTGACTTCCTCTCGCTATATCCATTTTCTCTGAAATATGGATCTATTACCATGACTTCAGTTATATTTTCTATGTAGATGACTACAGTATCCACATCTCCAGCCAGAACCTCTCTCAAGTTTCAGACTGGTAGAGATGGCCATCTATCTGCTATCTCCCATGGGATATTTCTTGAGTACTTGCAACTCAACTCAACTTTTATCTTCCTCTGTATTTCATCCCCTACTCCATCCCACCTCTAAATGCATTCCAACTGGATTCTCTTCTATCTTTGAAGTTTCTAGGAATGGCTCTATCATCCAACCAATCACCCAGCCAAACATGGGATTTATCTTTTCCTCCTTAACTTCCCTTTTGTCTCTTGTTTAATCAGCCATCAAATTTATTTGCTTTTATTTTCTAAGTATTACTGTGATTCCCCCCACCACCCCACCCCAATCTCTGTAATATCTGTGCTGGTTTATTTATCATCTCAGGCCTGGGCCAGGGCAACAACTTCTTCAATGGCCCCCCTGTTTCCAGTCTTGACTCTCTTCAATCTGTCTTTACTTTGCTACCAAAACTAATAATATTCTAATAAACAAATGTGGCCATGTCATTTCCTTTCTTGAGACTTTTCAATGATTTAACATGATGTGCTAGGAAGTCAGTAAATGTGTGTGTGTGTGTGTGTGTGTGTGTGTGTGTGTGTATAAAATGAATGAATGAGTATAAGATACTGACCACACTCCTTGGCTCACAAGGCCCTTTATAATATGTCTCTGCCTACATTTCTAGTCACACTTTCTATAATTTCTAACTCACTAATTTTTATACTAATAATTGTGTCACTTATCTGCACAGGCCTGGAAAGTTCTTCCTCGTTTTCTTCATTTGGATAACTTTTTTAAGCTTTTCGGGGCGCTCACTTTATGTGTCAATTTCTGTGTCTCATCCCTTCTAATTTATTTATTCTAACACATCTAATTATCCACACTATGCCAAAAACTGTTAGGCACTAGGAACAAAAATGGCAAAATGGCAAATTAGAGAGACAGACATGGAAACCAATAAATATTATTCATTGAAAGAAAGGTTATAATAGAAGAGGAATACAAGAAAATGATGAACAAGATGAAGAGAAAATAGAAGATTTTAATTATTCAAATCTACCTGTGGCACTTAGGAGCTGGGAGGAAAAGAATCTCAAGCAAATGAACCAATATGTGTAAAAACAAGGAGGTATGAAAGGGGCTGGATGGATGATGTTATGAGTTAAACCGTGCCCCTCCAACATTCATATGGTAGACTCCTAATCCCCAGCACCTCAGAATGTGACCTTATTTGAAGACAGGGTCCTAAAAGAGGCAATCAATTTAAAATGAAATTATTAGGGTAGACCCTCATCCAATGCGAACAGTGTTATTCTTAGAGAAACCAGTTCTTTTTGTTGAAAACTAATAGAAGACAAAGACAATTAAGCAATTGAGAGCTGAGTTTTAGTAAACTCACTCTGGTGGTTGGATAGAGGATAGATCAGAGGTAGGGAAGTGGAGAGGCTGGTTGAACACCATGAGGCTGTGGCAATCCTTCAGAAGAGAGAGGTGGAAAGCTTGGCCCAACGCAGTGGCAGGGTGTTTAGAGAAGATGAAGCAGATATGGAAAATATTTATGAAGGAAAATTGGCAGCAGTTGCTGACATGACTGGATGTGCAAGTGAATGGCACTGGCAAATTGCTTTCATTGCATTTATCCTTGTATTATGAGCAACTAACTGAGCCTATGCCCGAAAGTACAAAGAGAGAAGACACAAACCAAAGAAAAAACTGAGGTAGATAATGACAGATTTCCTCCCAATGTATCCTGAGCCTTGATTCAGACCTTGTGGCACAGTCCAGACAATTGTAAGTCCTAATCCTAATGGTTCAATATTAAAAAAACAGTGGGGACTTATTAAAAATTGGTTATGTATAAAGCCCACAAACAAATAAAAGGAAACTGTTAAAAGAAGTCACCAAGAGAATAATAATAGAAGAAACAAACAAAACATCAGTGGGCTTCCTTTCTTCTGCAGACTGCACAGAAACTGTGATAGGTTAATTTATGTGTCAACTTGACTGGACCATGGGATGCACAGACGTCTGCCCGAGCAATATTTCTGAGTGTATCTATCTGTGAGGGAGTTTCTACCAGAGTTTAGCATTTGAATTGGTGGACTGAGTGAAGTGGATTGCCCTCTCCAGTGTGACTGGGAATCATCCCATTCATTAAGGATCTGAATAGAACAAAAATGTAAAGGAAGGGAGGATTCACCCTCTCTGCCTGTCTGCTTGAACTGGAGCATCGATCTTCTCCCTGCCTTGGCGATCCTGTCTCAGGCCTTCAAACCCAGATGGGAATTTATACTATCATCTCTCCAGCTCTTAGGCCTTCAAATTACACCACCAACTTTCCTGGTTTTTCAGTTCACAGTAGGCAGATCATGGGACTACCTGGCCTATGTCATCAATGAATGTTTGCCAATACTTCGTAATCTTTCTCTCTCTCTCGCTACACACACACACACACACACACACACACACACACACACACACACACACACACAGATTCTCTTGGTTTTCTCTGAAGAACTCTAATACAAATACTCTTTCTTCATTCCTGCCTCCCTCCTTTCATTCCTCCTTTTCCTCTTTTCTCCCTTCAGCAAATAGTTACTGAGCTCGAACTTTATACTAGGTGCTACATTAAATGCTGGAGGTATGTAGATATAAAATAAACAGATAAAAAAGCAAAAATTTTTATAAGGACCTTATGATTTAGTGGACAAATGATGTGTAAACGAAGAATCATAATCTTATGTAGTAAGAGTTGTAGGCACCCAGAGCTGATTGACAATGCCTTGCTCTGCTTGAGAGAACTAGGAGAGATTTCTCAGAAGCTGTGATTCTTGAGCTGGATCTTGGAAAAGGTAAGGACAGGCTCAAAGGCTTGGGAGGATGTGGTATCTTCAGGGAAATGCAAACAGTTGTCTGACTACTGAATTAGGCCATCTCAGGGCAGACAGAAACCAAGTGAGAAGGTTGGAAGGGTGGTCTAGAGGCCTGATCTTGTAAGCCTGACATCTTTTCATTGAAATATTACCAGTTTGGTCCATGAAACAAAAAAAACTTTTGATTTCAGAAAACAGAAAGTATTTTCCAGACTCTCTTTTCTCAAACATGCAGGCTTCAAAAAATAATAAAAATAATAAGTTAAAGAAAAGAATCTAAACTCAGAGAGCTTCACTAGGGCAATAAATGCTTCACTTGGGTCCTACTGTGGTAAACTAAACAAACTTCTCCAAGGCTCTGGGCTTCAGCTTCTTTGTGAGACAGTGTTACATAGTGGAAAGGCTATAGAATTTGGATATAAGTCAGCACTCAATGACTTACTGGCCAAACCACCTAGGATTAGTTGCTTTGTTTCCCTGAGTCTCCTTTTGCTTCCTGGGCAGTACTTACACTCCAGCCCTCAATTTAACTTCCTTCAGAAAAGCTACAGTCACCACTGCTCCTGCTGGGCCTAGGAGGTTAGCAGTAAAATGCACATGTATAATGAGTGAAAGAGGGAAAGCGACTCTCTCTAGTCCTTTTGGGTTGGGCACAAGAGCCACCAGCCAGAACTGGCACAAAAGGTTTGGGGAATCAGAGCATGGCTACATCACCACCTTGAGTGAAGTAAATAATTCAGCTAAATGAAAGTACTCCAGTTGGTAGTTTTTGGCTGCAGCAGAGCCATCTAGTCAAAAAGCATAATCCCAGGGTATGAAAAATCACAAACAATCACAGGACATTGGTACAAGGAGGAGGCTTATAGGCTGTTGATTCAAACTCCTTCATTGTACAGAGGAGAAAACCAAGAGTCTGGGAAAGCTCAGTTAACCAAGTATTATTAGGCATCCCATTACTCTTTTATTAGGAGAAATCTGGTATTAGGAAAAACTCAACATCACCTGAGCAACTGGTTTGGTCCTTATCTTTTGGGTATGGAAAACCTGATTATAGATTGTGTTGCCAGATAAAATACAGGACATCCAGATGAAGCTAAATTTTTGATAGACACTAAATAATTTTTTTAGTATAAATGTATCCTTAATACAGCATAAATATAGAATACTAAAATTATTCATTTTAATCAGAAATTCAAATTTAACTTGGCTTTCTGTTATTATTTTTCTATATCTGGCAACCCTAATTATAGAGTGTCTTTTCATCTCCCATCTTTGCTCTGACTGTTAGGAAGCTTAAAGGCAAATGTATCATCATTGTTTTCTAACAGTACTTTATGGTATGCACTTGGCTTTATCCTGTTTGTTTATTTTCCATTCACCCTTTTCTTCATTAAGAAAATCTAGTTGTTACAAGTATCTCAGTAAGCAACATCAAAAACTTTGCTTGGATATTAACTTAAAAAACACCCACATCATGGGGTACTAATTAAGGGCTATACTTTGTACTCAGTTCTGCAGATGTAAATATAAGTAATACCTTCTGTCCAATCTCAAAGAGCCCTACTCAAGGCGGGGTGAGGGGGAAGACAGTTGTTTATATAAGTAATCAAAATTCAGAGAGATGAATGATGAGGTCCAAGGTCACACAGCTAGTTGGTGTCAGAACCAAGCTGTGTTTCCTTACATTGCATTCCATGTAGTGGGCTAGTTCACAAGAACTTTATTACCCATATCTACCTAAATACCTATGGGACAGTTCAGTAGGCACTGATCATTTGGCCTTCTCAGCACCCATCATTTTTCTAGGAGTAGCATCCCTTTATAGAGGCAATTGCTTCTCTTCCTCAAACTTTTTAATATTAGTAGGATCTTCCAATCAGTGTACTTCTCCATGACCTCAGATGTTTGATTCAGGGTGTGGACATGTGACCCAAGCCAGAGTAGTCCTTCCCCAGGAATTCCCAAATTGGAACAAGACAAAAGGCAGTCCCTCTCTGGTGGCAAAGATGGAGATGAAAATATAAGCAACAGCCATATCCCTTGCAGTGTGGAGGAAGCCAGGCTGAGCACATAAAGTTAATACACAAAGAGTGGCAGAGACACTTGCAGCATTCATGTCTTTAATTTCAGCTGTTCTCAAAGCTATGCTGCAAGTCTCCTCGATCCTTCTAGCCGAAAATAATTTCAGTCATGTTTTTGTCTCTTGCAACCAAAAGGGTTATGGCTAATAGAGATTATTTGAGCTGAATTACTATTGGCATCTTCCCAATGGGCTTTCAGAATAACGTGGCTACAGCACAGTTTACACAAAGCTCATTCTGTCTCTATGCAATGCAGAAAAGCTCCTGTTGCTTTAAAGGTACTGCTAAAAGCAGTATTTTTCCAGTCAGCTTCCAAGACACCGTCAAGATGCTTTCACTTATGACAGATTTGTATCTAGCAAGATCAACCAGCACCATGGTGGGTTAATGCTAAATAGCCAATCTGACTTCAAAATCTCCAAACTAGCTGCATGCTGCTGTTGTCATTGCTTCCATTGTAAAGATGGGGAAATTAAAACCTGGAGAGGCAAAGGAGATTGTTCGAGTTCATACATATTTGGCTAAGTTTATTCTAGAATCTGTGTCTCTTGTCACTTAGAATATTGCTTGTTCCACTATAGTCCTTCTTAAAAGCTGCTATCATTTTTTTAGGATCTTCAATCTGGAAAAAAAAAAACCCATTGATTATGACAACATAAAAAGAGCAAAAAATTCTCGGACTTTATGGTTACGTATTAAAATTAGTCATTTGGGGGAGGAAACCTTAAGAAAGTTGTTAGACATAATATACACTTGAGCATCCTCATTTTGTCTATACATCACAATCCCTTGTGAAGCCTTTTAAAAATAAAGATTTTTGAGTCACCTCCATTCCCACAAAAACCTACTGAATGAGAACGTTTGGGAGATGGGTACCAGGTTTTCACATATTTAAAGAACTCCAAAGATGATTTGGATTGAACTGGTCTAAGGACTAGCATTTAGGATCAGTAATGTAGATTTCTTTTTTGAGAGGGGGGGTTCTATATCCTCAGCTTTTAATTAACAACATTTAGAAAAAAATGTCTCTTGGTTGGATTGATATAACCATTTATACAACCAGTGTAGACATACGATTTTAGCAATGTTATACCTCATTCATTCAACCAATATTTACTAATTCCCTACAAGTTGCTGGGTTCTGCACCAGCCACTTGAATTCAAAGACGAGTCAGATGGAAACCCTGCCATCAAGAAGCCTTGAGGGACAGATAATAGATGAGTATATATGATATTTAAATGAGATGGTGATGTCAGTGTACCATGGGTGGGTGTTCCAGGGAAGAAGCTGGTGAGAATCAGGGAGGGTTTCTTGGGAGAGTATTTGAAGTGGGCCCTGAAGGGCAGGTAGGATTTGGACGTGCAGATGAGAGGAAGATCAACTCAGGCAGAGGAAACAGCACGAGCCAAGAATAGGAGCATGGAAAGAATAGTAGTAATAATAATAATGATAACTATAATAATAATAGCAGCAAGCAATTATTGAGCACTTGCCATATATGCCAATTGCTGTTGTAAGTGCTTTGTGTGGGCATCTCATTCAATCCTCACAACAAAGCAATGAAGTAGGTACTTCTATTATTCCTCATTATACAGATGAGAAAACTGAGTTACAGATAGGTTTAGTAATTTGCCCAAGGTCCAGTGCCAAATAAAGTAGGTGGGGGGAAGGATTTCTATTTTGTTCAGTACGTTTTTGGGGAATGAGTGGATATTTTAATCCAATACTATCATTTCAAAGATGTGGAAACTAAGGTTCAGAAAGGTTAGGATCACTCAACTGGTTGGTGGCAGTGTTAGAATAAGAGTCATTTTAATGCATTTTCCATTATGCCAAGCATGCAGTTTGAGACTGAGAGCAAAATCTTAGTTTATCATTTTCTCTTAATCAAAAATTATTTTGAGGAACTGTGATATCTTGAAAAGTAGCTAAACCCAGAGCTGACCTCTAACCAAGATACAGCTTTTGAATCAGGAGGACAAATCACAAGGGAGAGGGAAGTAAAGCATGGTAGAGTGGAACTTGTTTTGGACAAGTCTTATCTATAAAATGTTCTCATCTATAAAGAGATGCAATTAGACAAGAAGTTTCCTAAAGGTCCCTCTATGTTGGCTATTCTGTCTGATCCTAGGCAGGGCTTGAAACTGAGATTATGTCTGTATAAGTCTCTAAGTTTAATGGACTGAAATATAGCCAGAAATAAATAATCATGCTCTAAGAGAACTACATCTGGAGGCCAGAAAGCAGCTGTTAGGTAAATGGAGAGGGTAGCATTCTTTGAGTTTTTGTTCTTCACTTACTGTTTCAGATGATGCTGAGAAAGTCACTTGATGCATTTATGACAACCTCCAGGACCTAATCCATTTCCTCCTCCCAAAAAATGGGACTTGGCAGGAGAGAGCATCATTTTCTGTGATGCTGCAAACTGAAGAAAAGACAGAGTTATCTTTGGTTGAGGCCACCTGGACGCTTCTAGCTTATTGTCTATTGCTTCACCCTAGAGAGCACGCCCCATCTGACCTGAGTTGAAAGCATTCCCTACTTTAAGTAGCAAGATAGGTTCATGTGTATTCCCTATGTTGTGCTGCATTTTTTAAAGTAAAATAAATTTTAAAAATACGAGAGTTAAGTGTTGCTTATAATTCATTTTGACTGATGCCATTGCATCTAATGCAATATTTAGCTGTTTTACCTGTTTAGAAGCCTGAGAAGAGCAGTGATCCTGGAGAACATTCTCCATCTATTGTAGAACAAGATGGATGGAGAACATTTTTTCCACACAGCAACAATGATTACACTTTAAATTTATACAGCATCTGTCTCTGGAGAGTCTCAGAGAGACTTTGAGAATATTTTTTTCATTTCTCATTTTAAGAAGCCCGTAATGTCAGTTAAAGAGATCGCTTGTCACACGCAGACAGTGAGGCACAGAACTAGCCTCCGGATTTCTTGAAAATTCTTCAGTCTGTAGTTTCGTTGCTAAAGTCAAGGTTGCCCCTGGCCCAGGCACTAAAGAACAGCACTGATTTATCGAGTCCCTGAATTTTGAACACATTGGCAGCTCTCTGGTGAATGCAAAGGCAAGAAAAGATCGTTGCTCTTAAGTTTGTTAAAATATCAGAGTCAATATTGAGCATAATTGGAGAAGAGATTTATAAATATGGAATGGAGAAGTCTAGAGAGAAACCTGAAGTGTTAGATTGGAACTGGAGATACAGGAGTAAACTCATAGCTTTGTTTTAAAATATGTATATATATATACACATAGATGTAGAAATAAACATAGATGTGTATATATATGTATGTATGTATATGCATGTGTGTTAATGTATGTATATACATATGCATATATTTCTTACTGCTGAAAGGACCTAAAAACAATGCCATTCCAGTAGCAATGTGCACACCGGGCTCCCATATCTTGCTTTCCAAATATAATTTTTTGCTAAAAGGAAACAAGGTCCCATGGAAAAAGGGTTGATTCCAAGGCTGAGGCAGGAAAAGTGTAAGATGAGCTCAATACATTTTTGGCACCAGAAAGTAGGAAAATAGAAAAATGCTCAAAGATTATGGTAACAAGTCAAAGGAAATAAGAGTCAGGTTGAAGGGCTCCTGCTGGCCAAATCTAGGACAATTTAACCATCAAAATAAATAAAGATTGTAACATTTTATGCAACCACTCGTTGCATAAAATAGGAATCCTTGAGTTCATATTGATGAGAGAGAAGAGAGAGTGAGAGAAAGAGAGAAAGAGAGAGAAAGCTCTTCCTTATAGTTCCAATACAACTTTATTTACAAAAATAGGCATTGAGCTGGATTTGGCCTATGGGCTGTAGTTTGCTGACCCTCGACTAAAGGAAGCTATTGAAGACTTTGACCCTAAAAATGGCATCATCAGAATTATTCCTTGGGAAGATACATCCAGCTACTGGATAGAAAATGGATTTGAGGGAAGAGCATAAAAGTGGAAAGAAAAACTAGGAGGCTGTTGCAATGGTCCACATGTTTGCACCATGGAGAAACCAACACAGTTTTATAAGCCAAATATACCTGGGAATTTGGCCTCACAAACCTTAGCTGGCACACAGCTGGGTCTGTCTGTCCTTAGCTGACCTTGATTCTCACCATCTTGCCAGTTTAGCCACTCTGAAATCTTAGCCATCTCTGAAATCCTATGTCAGAGTTTGTAAATCATCTTGGGAGCCCAATTATTCTGTTTCTTTGCTCTACAGTGTTTTTGATTTCAAGAGCTAAGTCTGTACTATTTGTATGAGAGGAAAAAATCAATAGAAAGAGAAAGTTTAATAAAAAAATACATTCTCCATTGACTTTAATTAACTTGGCCTTAGGTTTACAACTTTGGCAAGTATGGAAAATGAAAAAGAAGAGAGAAAAAACAATCTCATATCTCACCCTATAACACAAAGCTTTTTAAGAATAAAATCTCAAATTGAAATCTGAATGTATCAGCAATTTATTTGCCAGCAACAAGTTGAAGAAAAAGGATAAAAAAGAAAAGAAAAGAAATTGTCTTATAGGATGTAACAAAGAACAGGCTGGCAATTTTAACTACTGTGATAAATGGCCAAATACCAGAATGAGGCCAATGGTTTATCAATGTCATAGAACACTTGCATGTTCTTCCAGAATCAAATGGTCCTGGCTTTGGTGTCTTCTCCAGTCTCATGACTTAAGATCCATAGTCTTTGAAACCTGTTGGTATTTGCTAGTTTTAGCACTGAAGCTTTCTGCCAGGGAACAAGGTTCTCTCTGGAGGAGTAATGGTCAGGAGGAATGATGTGAGTTTCTGTCTCCTGCCAGGTGTCTGCAGAGAGAAACCACGAATGCATGGATATTTCACAAAATTTCACACCCATGAGACTTTTCTGTCATTTGAAATGATGCAGGCTATTAGTAGACAGGTACAGTAATATAGTATATAAGTACACATGCACACACGCATACAGGATGCTACACATATTCCATAAATTCACATGTGCACTCAATTGCACAATAGATACATGAGTGAACATCTGTTAGCATAGATAAAGCATATATCTCCATAATCAAATAGATGGTGTCATGCAAATATAACATACTATATTTCTCTATACATTTACAATAGGCATTTATATGAAAATACATGTAAGTCTAAAAATACATTTAAGAGTAAGAATACAAACACATCCAGGTATGTGTACCATACATACACACACCGCATCTATATATTATATCCATGTGAGTTACATGATCTGGTCCTCATCATCCCTGACTATTTCCCCTATGACTGTAATATTTCTCCCTCCATCATTATATTCCAAACTATTCCCTGCTGTCCCACAAATGTCAAGTACATTCTCACCTTAGAGTTTTTTGTACTGGTTGCTCCCTGTAAATGAAATACCCATATCAGATCCACCAGACTATGGATCTTAGGTCATGAGACCAGAGAAGACACCAAAGCCATGAGATATCATGAGGACTATTTTATCACTTCTTTTAAGTCTCTGTTCAAATATTAGCTTCTCAATGAAATCTACATAACCACTCAATCATTCTATTTAAAATTGCAGCCCACTCATTCCAGCCCATGTGCTTATCTAAATTACTTTATTCTAGAACTTATTACCTTATAAGATATCATATAATTTACTTATTTATTACATTTACTTTTTATCATTACTCTCCTCCCCTTCCATCAACCCCCGCTAGCTGAAATGTAAACTCTAGGAGGGACAGGGCTATTTTTCTGGTCTGTTCATGAAACAAACTATATTTGTTCACTAATGTTCTAAGCAACTAGAACAGAGCTAGGTTCAGAAAACATTTAGTATATATGTGTTGAATGAATGAATGAATTGATATATATGAATAAAATGTAGATATATATGTTTGCCGAACCACGTCTATATATCATGAGTGGCAACATTTATTCCTATAAACATTCCTATGGTTAAATGTAAGCATATATGTGTTCATATTCAAAGGAACTGAGACGCATTGGTAAGGGCTGTGTGTGTGTGTGTGTGTGTGTGTTTGTGTGTGGAAAGTATCTGCTCCTGTTGAATATGCTCAGCAACTCACACTGAAATGTGAAAGGAGTGGGTCTAAGTGACTCCCTGGGCACCCTAGCTACAGTAAACTATCACTATAGTACATAGAGAGATAAGTCCAAGGTGGCAAGAAGTTTTGGGGAAAAAAAACTACACTGGACACTGGGAGATAGATTTTGGACTCTGAGAACTATGTTGGTTCCCAGAACTTAAGTGTCAGGAATGAACTCTGTTCTCTATTAAACTTGATAACAAACTAGTTCAGAATTTCAGCTCTGAAAACTTTACTATAAGGTGAGGGAGAGGGACAAGACAGAATAATTTTGATTTCTTTAGATTTGGGCTCAAACATACCTCTCTCTTTCATGATTTTCATCAGGCTTGTCCTAGGGAATATGAACTAGCTTTACAGGGAAAGTTTCAGGTCATAAGCCATGACTTTTGGAGATGGGTGAAAACATAAAAAGTCACATATTTCTCTTCTCTGCCTTCCCCTGTTATTGACTGGATGTTTGTGCCCCCTCAAAATTCACATGTTGGCTGGGCGCGGTGGCTCATGACTGTAATCCCAGCACTTTGGGCTAACATGGTGAAACCCCATCTCTACTGAAAATAAAATTAGCCAGGTGTAGTGGAGGGCGCCTGTAATCCCATCTTCTCAGGAGGCTGAGGCAGGAGAATCTCTTGAACCTGGGAAGTGGAGGTTACAGTGAGCCGAGATTGCACCATTGCACTCCAGCTTGGGCAACAAGAGTGAAACTCTGTCTAAATAAAATAAAATAAAATAAAATTCATATTTTGAAACCTAATCCCTCATGTGATGGCATTTGGAGGTGGGGCCTTTGGAAGGTAATTACGTCATAAGGGCCCTGCCTTCATGAACAGGAGTAGGATACTTATAAAAGAGGTCTCTGCTGGGCGCGGTGGCTCGCGCCTGTAATCCCAGCACTTTGGGAGGCCGAGGCGGGCGGATCATGAGGTCAGAAGATCGAGATCACGGTGAAACCCTGTCTCTACTAAAAATACAAAAAATTAGCCCAGTGCGGTGGCAGGCACCTGTAGTCCCAGCTACTTGGGAGGCTGAGGCAGGAGAATGGCGTGAACTCGGGAGGCTGAGCTTGCAGTGAGCCCAGATCATGTCATGGCACTCCAGCCTGGGCGAGACTCCATCTCAAAAAAACAGTTAAAAAAAAACGATCTCAAGAGAGATCCCTCACCCCTTCCACCATGTGAAGACACAGCAAGAAGGCCCAGACCAGAAACCAAATCTGCAAGTGCCTTCATTTAGGACTTCCCAGACTCCAGAACTGTGAGAAATAAACCTGTTATTTATAAGCCTCCTAGTCTGTGTTATTTTGTTATAGCAGCCAAGATGGACTCACACATCTTTCTTTTTCTTTTTCTTTTTCTTTCTGTTTTTTTTTTTTTTTTTTTGATGGAGTCTCACTCCCATCCTGCAGGCTGGAGTGCAGTGGCATAACCTCAGCTCACTGCAACCTGCAACCTCCGCCTCCCAGGTTCAAGCAATTCTCCTGCCTCAGCCTCCTGAGTAGCTGGGATCACAGGCGCCCACCACCACGCCCAGCTGATTTTTGTATTTTTAGTAGAGATGGGGTTTCACCATGTTGGCCAGGCTGGTCTTGAACTCCTTACCTCAGGTGATCCACCCGCCTTGGCCTCCCAAAGTGCTAGGATTACAGGCATGAGCCACTGAGCCGAGCCAAGACATCTTTCATCTGTGTGTGTGTGGTGTGTGTGTGTGTATGCTATAGGGTAGGGAAATGTTTTGGAGATATGTTGGTTTTCCACTAATATAAAAAAGAAATCAAGTTCAGATCTGAGCTTCCACAAGCAGGTGGATAGAGACAGCCCATTTTGAGACTCAGAACACCTGTAAGACTCCTGTGACTTCTTAGGGACCATAAGAAATGGAATTGTCCTATCTGGCTTCCTGACTGCCTTGTAACTCCTCTGTAGAGATAAGGCACATTTCCAAGTCCTAATTTATTTCACATACCTTGCTCTCTGACCTAAAAAATCTTCAAAACATTAATAAGACATAAATACAGTGACCATGTAATTTATTGTCCAAACTGAGACACTTCTGAGAGTAAAGGAGGTGTTATTACTGGTTATGTGTCTTAATCATGTTCTTCCTTCCCCTCATCTTGCCTTCCTTCTTTATTTATTTACATTATTGAGTACCTACTTTGTGCCAGCTACTGTGTAGGTCCTCCCTAAGGCACACAATGATCTGCAAAAATAACACTATCCACCCTCATGCAGCTTGCAAGTTAAGGAGAAAGTTGCAGACACATTCTTTTAACACATAGTTCTCGAGTATCTACTACATGTCTGGTGCTCTTTTAGACACTGAGTACCACGCAATGATCAAGATAAGTAAAGTTTCTGCACTCACAAAACTTAGAGAGGAACATAAAAACTGCATAATTATGAACTATGATTAATTCTCTGAAAAAGAAGTATACAATGCTAGGAAGACCAAATAACACCCAGCCCTAGAGTGTCAGTTTGGCATGACTATTCTGAGAAAATGATGTTTGAGTGCAGATGTGTGCAAGGGTTAACTAGATGAAGGGGAATAGAAGGGGAGAGAGAGATTTTTTCAGGCAGAAGGAACAGCATGTGCAAAGGCCCTGAGGCAGAAAGAAACATGGCATCTTCAAGGAGCCAGAAGACAGCAGTATGATTGGAGCACAGCTGCAGGGTGGAGGGTGGAGGGTGGAGGTGCAGGTGGAGGTATGTGGATGAAATGAGACGAGTCTAGAGGAGGCAGGGAACAGACCTTGTAGAATTTTTTAGGCCAGGGAAAGACCCTACTTTCCACTTTGGTTGCCCAGGGATGTGGCAGGTCCTGAGATAGTTCCTAGGGTATGACAGCAGGGAGGAGGCCAGCAAAGCAGCTGCATAGAGTGCTTAGGAAGATGATTGTGACACATGCAGTCTACTGCTTGATAAGATACAGAACAGTCAGATGTTTTCCTATGTGGTCACACATGGAAAAGGAAGTACAGTGAAAACTGGTGGGACAGAGGTCTGTGGTCATGATAAAAAGATGTGGTCTCAGATGAACTGGCATAGACCACATCAGAGGGTACTGTTTATACTTATGAATTTATTTAGTTTTATTTGTTGAGTCTCTGTAATGAGCCAGAAATCTTGTCAGTCATTGAAGAATTAACCATTACCATAATAGATGCTATTTCTGTACCAAAGTAATTGTACGTTACTTGACAGACTAGGTCTATGCACCATATTTTAAGAGGGACTGTGAAAACTAGAGTCTAGACCTGATAGAAGTGATGAGATGTCTAGACATTACAGCCCATGAAGAGAGCTGAAGATTAAAGGTCAACATGATAATTGTCTTCCTAATGTCCCTAGAAGAGAGTGCAGAAGTATTCCGTTTTATTTTAGGAGATGGGACTTGAAGTAGGGGAGCATTCTAAGGAGGTCTGTCCTGATATGTAAAATAAGAAGACTCTTTTCATAGATAGAAAAGTCTTGGGAGGCAGTAAGGTCCCCACTCACAGGAAATGCTTAAAGTCTGACCTAGTGACCGTCCATGATAGATGCTGTAATAGGAACTGCCCGTAGGAAAAGAAGGTGGTCTGGAAATTTAGTCTACTAAGGGACACAGACATACACATATAACGCAAAGAATGAAATCCAATAGTGGGGAGCAGTGAGGACGGATATTTAATAGTGCCAGATGGAAGGCTCAAGTTTCCTGGTTGTACTCTGGCTCACAGAGCCTTGCAGGTAGCAAGACGTCCTCTCAGGTTTGGGAACAGGAAAGTACTCTGGCCAGATGTTCTGCTGCTCTATTAGCTCCTACTCGGCTGGTCATTGAGATGCAAATCTCTTGGATATGACACTTTTCAACTATAAAATTCTTTAGTTTTAAGCCTCAGATTTTACCAGCTAATGTTTAAGCAGTGGATTCTGCTCCTTAATGAAAGCCTGATGATAAAGTTCATTGGAGATTTTTGTTATCTTTGGTACTATTCTTATCATCCAAGGCTAGCCTTTGTGAAGGAAATATGTTCTGAAGTCACTTTGGGAAGACAAATTCTTCCATCCTTTTTAATGGAGATCTGGCAAGGAAAAGAATTGCCATTGTTAAAAGGATTTACTGTTTATGTGCAAATTTTAGACTGTTGGACAAGTGTAGCTATTTTTACAGATATTGCCATTTTAGAAATGAGAAACCTGATGTTTAAAGGAACAAGAGTTATGCTCAATAATCTGCAGAAAGTGTTTGTATTCATCAGGGTAGACTAAATTATGTGGCAGTAACAAACAACCCCAAAGTCTTTGGGACACCAAATAATAAAAGTTTACTTCCCTCTTATGCTACTTGAATGTGGGATTGAGAGTCCCTGGGAGGCTGGCTCTGCATCATCATGTTCCACACCCTGGGGCCCAAGCTAACAGGGAAGCAAGAATTGGCATATTGGGTATCATAACAGCAAAAGAAAGAGGATGCATCTGCTCTTAAATCTGCCATTCAGAAGTGACTTGCCTTACTGTGTTCACATTTCATTGGTCAAACTTAGGCTGCAGCCCAGGAGCGAGAACTAGACTATCTGTGCACAGCCTTAGTGACTGCCATAGTGCTGGGGGGTGGGATTCCAACTCATTACCTCTGTCGCAGCAAATTCATGTCCCTCCCACTGAGTTCATTGCCTCTTCATGCTAAGTATGGAATCAGGACTGAAGTTGGCATAAGCAATTCAACTAGCTTGAAAAATCCTTCATGGATTTCTTGACACTCATCTTTTCGTCTTTTGGTTTCTTTTATTTTCCCAGAGCCCAGCCTTTTGGACATTAACATAAGTTAGTTTCCCCTTTCATGTGGCAGTGTGGTCTGGCAGGAAAACACTGGACGGGGCTCTTCTGAGAAGGTTTAACTATTAAAAACCTTGTTATGTTTTCTCAAATGAATTGTTCAAAGATTTACCTGGAACACTAGTTCAAAGGAATGATAGTTATTCTCTCCACAGAGGAAACACATTCCATCTGCCACTGAAACATCCTTCCAGCTCTACCACCAGCTTGCTCACAAAACCCTGAAACATTGTCCCTTACTGTTCCCAAATGCCATTTTTGATCCTGTGGACCCTGTGTCTTCAAGAATCTCTAGTCTGGGCTGCCTTGCTTTGTGTTTTTTAAAAAATAATATGAATTATTACAGACAAGAGAATCCTAAAGCCTCTCATTCCTCCAATTAGTCCCAGTATTTATAGTAGCAATGGCAGTGAGAGAAACAGTGGCAGCTGAGAGAAATCAAATGTTTGCTAAGAACTTACACAATGAAAACAGTAAGTAAGCAAGAGAATATTGCAGCAAAACCAAAAAATGTGAATGGCAATAATTTTAGCTTGAAGCTCCTCTTCCTTTGAACCTAGGGCATATAACTAGAAAATTTATAACCAATGTCCTCTTTGATGCCCTGGATGTCATAGATGCCTAGATGAGATGAGTACATAGAATTGTCAAGTAAATAGATGATATGTGTTTGTTGCACCTTAATCTATGGCACCTTGTGCCACAAAGCGCCCTGTGCTGTTCCTCTACAATGAGGAGGAAGAGCAAACATAAACCAGTCAGGGTCAGTGCTGGGTGGTCTACATATATTAACTTATTTAATACTATGATCTCCCTGTAAGTTAAGTTTTGCTATCCAATGAAGAAGTAAAATGAAGATCAAAGAGATTAAGAAGCTTGCCTAGGGCTACACAATTAGCAGAACAAAAATTCAAACCCAGATCTGGCTGACTTCAAAATGCAAGTTGTTTTTGTTAGTTTGTTTGTTTTAACACACATTGCTGTATCTTGCTGGCCATAGGCTCATCCCTGAGAGGGCTAGCCAACTATTTGATCAAAATATAATTTTCTAAAGAAATACCAACAAGGCTTAAAAACTGAACAATCTCATCATGCAAGAGGGCCCAATTCATTTAATGTGGCTGAAGCTTCAGTGGTATATTGTGGCATTCTAAATTCAGGTGATCATTTGCTATAAAGGAGGGGCTTGGAACAGGATCTCCACACAGGTTCTGTTGTGAATGTATGTAGTGCACAAACTACACAATTTTATGTGGCAGTTTTGCCTGGAAAATGACTGTAAAATGTGGGCAGCATTTAGCTTTTCAGGGATGGGTGCAGACTAGAGCTAGCAAGGTACCAGGACTCAGCCAAGCCTTTTGGGTTGAGAGTTGGACTCTGCTACCAACAAGAAGTAAAGTGATAATGAGGGAAGAGAGTCAAAATTCCTTCATATACACTAAGTAAATACATGTAGTATAAGAACCCAACATTTTAGATGGTAGATCAATCATTGCTAAAACTGGGAATGTTTACTTACTTGTATCTATAGATGAGACAATGGCCAAAATAGATTATTTGCTAATCTTCTTGGATATGGTGACATCTGAACTTAATCTTGGAGGACATGTGTGAGTTAGGCGTGAAAAGTTGGGAAAGACACTTCAGCAAAAGTGAGAAGTATGTGCAGAAGCACAAAAACAAAGAAAGGACACTCCCCATTCCAAGAATATGTAGTTCAATATGACAGAAGGAGGTTATGCTGAGGCATGACACTAGAAGGGAGGCAGGAGGCAGATCATGAAGAACCTTTTATGCTATGCAAAAGAATTCAAACTTTATCCAAGGACAACAGGAGGCCAAGTCAAAGTTTCAAATAAAACAGTAACATAATCGGATTTGTGATTTATGTAGACACCCTCGCCATAGAAAGCTAGTTGTTGGAGATGGGAGAGAACACAGACTGGGACAGGGAGACCAGTTAGAAAATTTGTAGAAACCCAGCCCCCAAATGGAGTAAGGCATTGGGTTATAGGTAGGAAGAGAAAGAGAAGGGCGAAATAAGAATTTAAATCATCATCTCATAGGCTCCGATGCTTCATAGGTAGAGAGTAGAGGGTTCAAAGATGAATCCCACATGTCTGGCTTGGGGGAATATGAGAAAAGTGGTACATTCAAGCAAATAAAGGAAAAAGGAGGCCGGGCACGGTGGCTCACACCTGTAATCTCAGCACTTTGGGATGCCGAGATGGGCAGATCACCTGAGGTCAGAAGTTCAAGACCAGCCTGGCCAACATGGCGAAACCCCGTCTCTACTAAAAATACAAAAAAATTTAGCCAGGTACGGTGGAACATGACTGTAATCCCAGCTACTTGGGAGGCTGAGGAAAGAGAGTTGCTTGAACCTGGGAGGTGAAGGTTGCAATGAACTGAGATCGTGCCACTGCACTCCAGCCTGGGTGATAAGAGCGAAACTCGGTAAAAAAAAAAAAAAAAAAAAGGAGAAGGAGCAACTTGGAGGATGGAAGGAGGGAATGTGTTAAGTTTAGTTTGGGGCATGCTAAACTTCCTTGGGGTTCTAGAGTGGATATGTACCATAGGAAGTTATGCATATGAGTCTGTCGCCCATGAGCGAAGTATGGAAATTTGTATCCCTAAGATAGAGTTGGGATTTATCCAGGCACAAGCCATGGTTGAAGCCACAGCAGGGGTGAGATCATTCAGGAAAAACATGCAAAGTGAGAAGATGGCCAAGAACATGACCCCAGGGAATACCAGTGTGTGCAATATGGGCAGAGAAAAAGAATTCTGGCAAAGGAGTTATAGAAAGAATGGTCAGAAAAATAGGAGAAAGGCCAAGAGAGTAGAACATGATGGAATGCCAAAAGAAGACAGAGAGCAAGATCCAAGTAAGGAGCATGCAACATAATTAAAGGTTACAGAAAAGGCAAGTAATATAAGGACTTAACAATTGTAAGTGAAGTTGATAGGGGCAGAAGCCAGACTGTCTGGAATTGAGTAAGAGATGAAGACATTGAGTATAGACCAGTCTGGTATTTCCCAACCTTTCTAAGTATAAGGACTTTTTTTTAAAACGTAAGTATGTAAATTCTCACATAATAGAAATTATTCCTTGATTTGTTCAGCCAACAGTTGCCCCTTGCAACTTCTCTACCTTCAACCCTGTATGTTCTGCCAGGACCCCAGATATTTACAGTTCAGAGGCTACAACTCATGGGGTGGCTGTTTTTTTTGTTTCTTTCTTTTTTTTTTTTTTTGAGACAGAGTCTCGCTCTGTCACCCAGGCTGGAGTGCAGTGGCGCGACCTTGGCTCACTGCAACCTCCACCTCCCAGGTTCAAGCGATTCTCCTGCCTCAGCCTCCTGAGTAGCTGGGATCACAGGTGCATGCCACCACACCCAGGTAAGTTTTGTATTTTTAGTAGAGACGGGGTTTCACATGTTAGCCAAGATGTGCTCAATCTCCCGACCTTGTGATCCTCCCGCCTTGCCCTCCCAAAGTGCTGGGATTACAGGTGTGAGCTATGGTGCCCGGCTGGGAAGGGTCTTTTTTTTTTAGGTTGAGTCTGTGTGAGGGAAAAGGAAAGGAAAAGTTTGCATCTGAAATGTTGAGTGTCTCCTTTCCCCCTAAACATGGAAGAGAATGCTTATATAATTGTAGTAATTAATACTTTTATTATCATTGAAACCTGAGATAGATTTTCCTGTGATTTCTATAATTCTCACACCTGTAAGGGGAAGATAGTATCACTTATGTTCCTGATTTCCTGTCTACCAAATTCAAGTAGGAAAATGGGTTTCCACAATTGTGGTTTAATGTGAATAACTATGTAAGATAAAATGTTAATTTCTACTTCTATCAATAAACAATCAGCCAGGCATGGTGGCTCATGCCTATAATCCCAGCACTTTGGGAGGCTGAGGTGGGCGGATCACCTGAGGTCGGGAGTTCAAGACCAGCCTGACCAACATGACAAAACCCCATCTCTAATAAAAATACAAAATTAGCCAGGTATGGTGGCACATGTCTGTAATCCCAGCTACTCCATAGGCTGAGGCAGGAGAATCGATTGAACCCAGTAGGTGGAGGTTGCAATGAACCAAGATCGCACCATTGCACTCCAGCCTGGGCAACAAGAGTTAAACTCCGCACCCCCCACACCTCCCCAAAAAATAAAATAAATAAATGAATAAACAATCATGCATTCAAGAGCGTGGAAGTAAACACTTGTATGTAGAAAGTACTGAAATAAGAATTAAAATATCTAAAGTTATTTTTAAAGAGTTTTTAGTTAAAAAGACTCAACTACTCATTTCAGAAAAAGAATAATTACTATTTTCTGACCATGTCTTACCATGGTTGTTCTTAGGTAAACCAAGGAAACGGATTAGGAACCAGAAAATACTGCATTGCCTCCTCCATATACATCCATTAGTGTTGTAGGGGATATAGCTTTGAGAGCAGATTCTCTCCTATTGGAGCCTCAGTTTCTTCATCTTTTTTTTTTATTATACTTTAAGTTTTAGGGTACATGTGCACAATGTGCAGGTTTGTTACATATGTATACATGTGCCATGTTGGTGTGCTGCACCCCTTAACTCGTCATTTAACGTTAGGTATATCTCCTAATGCTATCCCTCCCTGCTACCCCCACCCCACAACAGGCCCCGGTGTGTGATGTTCCCCTTCCTGTGTCCATGTGTTCTCATTGTTCAATTACCACCTATGAGTGAGAACATGTGGTGTTTGGTTTTTTGTCCTGGCGATAGTTTGCTGAGAATGACGATTTCCAACTTCATCCATGTCCCTACAAAGGACATGAACTCATCATTTTTTATGGCTGCATAGTATTCCATGGTGTATATGTGCCACATTTTCTTAATCCAGTCTATCATTATTGCATATTTGGGTTGGTTCCAAGTCTTTGCTATTGTGAGTAGTGCCACAATAAACATATGTGTGCATGTGTCTTTATAGCAGCATGATTTATAATCCTTTGGGTATATACCCAGTAATGGGATGGCTGGGTCAAATGGTATTTCTAGTTCTAGATCCCTGAGGAATCACCACACTGTCTTCCACAATGGTTGAACTAGTTTACAGTCCCACCAACAGTGTAAAATTGTTCCTATTTCTCCACATCCTCTCCAGCACCTGTTGTTCGCTGACTTTTTAATGATCGTCATTCTAACTGGTGTGAGATGGTATCTCATTGCGGTTTTGATTTGCATTTTTCTGATGGCCAGTGATGATGAGCATTGTTTGACGTGGCTTTTGGCTGCATAAATGTCTTCTTTTGAGAAGTGTCTGTTCATATCCTTTGCCCACTTGTTGATGGGGTTGTTTGTTTTTTTTCTTGTAAATTTGTTTGATTTCTTTGTAGATTCTGGATATTAGCCCTTTGTCAGATGAGTAGATTGCAAAAATTTTCTCCCATTCTGTAGGTTGCCTGTTCACTCTCATGGTAGTTTCTTTCGCTGTGCAGAAACTCTTTAGTTGAATTAGATCCCATTTGTCAATTTTGGCTTTTGTTGCCATTGCTTTTGGTGTTTTAGACATGAAGTCCTTGCCCATGCCTATGTCCTGAATGGTATTGCCTAGGTTTTCTTCTAGGGTTTTTATGGTTTTAGGTCTAACATTTAAGTCTTTAATCCATCTTGAATTAATTTTTGCATAAGGTGTAAGGAAGGGATCCAGTTACAGAATTGGAAAAAAAACTACTTTAAAGTTCATATGGAACCAAAAAAGAGCCCGCATTGCCAAGACAATCCTAAGCCAAAAGAACAAAGCTAGAGGCATCACGCTACCTGACTTCAAACTATACTACAAGGCTACAGTAACCAAAACAGCATGGTACTGGTACCAAAACAGAGATACAGACCAATGGAATAGAACAGAGCCCTCAGAAATAATGCCGCATATCTACAACTATCTGATCTTTGACAAACCTGACAAAAACAAGAAATGGGGAAAGGATTCCCTATTTAATAAATGGTGCTGGGAAAACTGGCTAGCCATATGCAGTTTCTTCATCTTTAAGTGAAGTTATTCTTCCTCCTAGGATTGTTATGAAGGGTTGTTAGCACTGCACCTGGACATAGTGGGCATTTCACTGATGACAGCTCTATTAAGTGCTTGTGTTGCAACTAATTGTTCATTGTAAAAGCAAAATGTTAGATTTATAATGGAGTGATCAAATTTAACATCAGTAATCATAGAGCAGCTTGACATTATGTGCTTTCTGTAAAGATACGGAATACTTAGCATCACCATTATTCTTACAAAAAACATATTTACCCTGAATCCAATCAAGCTTCTATTCTTAATTTCTAAATAAGAGGAAACACAGGTAGCTGAGAAAACAGCTAAATGACGTCACAGAGAAATCCTGAAGCAAATCCAGAATGTAGATCTATTAGAAGGCAACTGATCGGGTCTCTTCAAAAAGTCAGTGTAATGACAACAACACCAACAACAACAAAAGTTGTGAGAGGGGCTTCTGTAGAGTAAAAGGGACACGAGACATAAAAACCAAGAAAAATGTGTGAGCCTTCATGGGTCCTAGTTTGAAAAAAAATCTATAAAATATAATTTGGGGTCAATTGGGGAAAATTTAAATATGGACTAGTTATTAACTGATGTAGGGAATTGCTATTGATCTTCTGGATAAAATAATGCTACTGAGATTATGTAAATTAACGCTTTTGTTTTTAGGAGATGTAGGTTGAAATATTTAGTGGTGAAGTATCATAATTCCTATAATTTACTTATAGCAAAAATATAAATACATTTGTATATATGTATATAGAGATATAAAATAGATATGGCAAGATAATTATTGAATTCAGATGGTGAATATGTGAATGCTAATTGTACAATTTTTCCAACTTTTCTGTGTGCTTGAAAATTTAGTAATAAACGTTTGGGAGAAAAATGGAAAGAAGTGACTTAGTAAGATGACAACCAAACTGATTTAATTAAAAAGTAGCAAATTTAGCAGCAGAATCACAACACAATATCCATAGCACAGAAAGAAAGATTTTGTAAATGTTTATAAGAATATGGAATGCTAAAATAAGAGATGTATAAAACAAAAAGTTTATCATGTACTATAAGCAGAATCATAAATGATTTAAACAGAAATATGTTTGGCAAGCCAAGGGCTTATCTGGCAAAAATTTGAATTTCCTGGCTTTGCTCGATTTGCAGATCTTGAGAACTATCCAGGTGATAATAACTCTATTGCTCCCTCTTTTGGAGAGTAATGTAGGTCTGTCTCCTTTTATTTTTTGTAGTTTTGGTTCTGACCATCATGGCAAAACTGGGCAGACATTTTTCATCTATCCACCCGTTTAGCCATCATTCATTCACTCAAGTCACTGAGCTCTGGGGATACAGAAATGGACCCAGCACTGTGCCTTTCTCAAGGAACTCTCAGCACAGTGTGGAAAACAGACATTTGAATAAATTACCACAATGCAGTACCATAGAAGATATTAGGAATGGCTATTAAAATGCTTCAGGATACCACAGAAGGGATACCCTATTCTGGCTAAAGAAGCTTGAGAAAGTTGAATTTAAAAATCAGTTAAAGGAGAAAACAAGGGACATCATATGTTCTCCAAATTTATCATATGAAAGCATCCTAAACATGTCCATTAAATATTTGTCTGTGTACAGACAACTCTAAGCCACAGAAAAATGAAAAATTCTCTTGAATTACTATTCACTCACTCACAGACCAGATAATCACAAAGCATCTCCTATATGCCATGTGCTATTGTAGATGATACAGATGAAACCTTGGGCAGACAAGTTTCCTTTCTAATGGAGTTTACTTTCTAAAAGGAAGAATAAGAAAATTACCATTAAATCAAGTCAAAACACAAGAAAATATGATAACTCTGACAAAATTAAAGTGGGATATTGCAATAGAACTACTATAGGTTAAGTGATTAGGAGCAGCCTCTCAATGAAATGATATTTATGTTGAGACCTATAGGACAAGAAGAAGCCAGCCCAGCAAAAATTTAGAACATTCTAGGAAATGGTATATACACAATGGAATACTATTCAGCCATAAAAAGAATGAAATACTGTCATTTGCAACAACATGAGTGGAACTGTAGGGCATTATGTTGAGTGACATAAGCTGGGAATGGAAAGTTAAACACCACATGCTCACACTCATATGTGGAAGCTAAAAGTGTTGGTCTCATAGAAATCAAAAGTAGAACAGAGGATACCAGAGGCTGGGAAGGATTGGAGGAAGAGGGGGTAGGGAGAGATTTGTTAAAGTAAACAAAATTATAGCTAGATAGGAGCAATAAGTTGTAGTGCTCTATAGCATTGTAGGATAACTATAGTTAACAATAATATATAGTTTCAAATAGCTAGAAGGAGAATATTGAATGTTAAATGATACATGTTTAAGACGATGGATATGCTAATACCTTGATCTAACCATTATACAGCATATGTATTGAAACATCACTATATATCCCATAAATATATACAACTATTATGTGTAAATTAAAAATAAAATAATAAGGAAATATTATAATAATCCATAGGCAGGAGTTGGCTTGGCAGGTGTGAGCATAGAGGACCAGCATGGACTGAGAGCAGTGGAGTGGGAGAGTGGGCCTAGGTGGATTAGGTGAAGGGAACAAGCTCAAATGATGTAGGGCCTTATAGGCTAAGAAGTATGGATTTTGTTCCAAGAACAATGGGTGATTTTAAACAAGGAAGAACACAGGCTCAGATTTATGTTTCAAAAAAAACTCACTCTGGCTGCTAAGTGTTGAGAGGCAGAATGAAATTCTGAAGAATGTCAAGGGCTAGCACAGAGGTCCACAAGAGATGATGGTGACTTAGATGGGAATGACGATGGGAGACTGGTGTTGATGGTGGTGGTGGGGAGAAATGAAAGGGATGTGGGAGGTGAGAGGAAGTTTGGAGTTAAGTATGTCACCTGGTTCTAGGCTTGAGCAGTTGAGCTGATGGATGGTTGTATCATCAATGAAAATGGAAAAGCCTAGGGGATGAACAATTTGACTGCAGGGTAAGATATGGAAAAAAGAGTCCTGTTCTGCCCGTGTTATTTGGGATACAAACTGCACACCCAGATGAAAAAATTAAAAAAAAAGGGAGTGGGCTGTATAAGCTACAGTAAAGATCCTATTTTACTTGAATTTAAATTAATTTGTCAATATCCACTAAGAAAGTAGAAAATCCATATGCTCTAGGACCCAGAAATCCTGCCTTTAGCGATTCCCTACTGAAGTTCCTGCCCATGTACACCAAGGAGATCTGAACAAGGACATTCATTGCAGCATTGTCTGTAATAGAGGAGAATTAGAAACAACTGAAATGTCCATTAATAGGAGAATGGATATATAAATTGTGCTATATGCTTGTGATGGAATTCAAATGTAGCTGTTAAAATGAACTAAGTCTACATGTGTCAACATGGGTGTATCTCATAAACATTATGTTGAATGGATGAAAAGTTGCAGAATCATACAGACTATATGACAGCATTTAAAAATGTATTGGGGACACATATAGATGTAATAAAATTGTAAACATATGAAATAGGATACACAGTAAATTCCTGAGTGTGGTAGCTTTGGGAGAGAGGAAGAGGAAGAGGAATAAATGCTCTTGTGAGGGGTAACAAAAGGGGCTTAAACTTTATCTGCCGTGCTATAGTTCTTTTATTTAAACAAACAGAAGCAAGACAAGAAACAACAACCTGACCTGGTCAGTTGCTTCAACTGATCAAATGGGGCATTGCTTGGTATTATGTGGACATGTCTAATAAAGAGGGTTCAGGCCACAAATGAGTTCCTATTGCAGAGTCCAGTCAAGGTCTCAAATCCCAGTGATTGATTGGAGCCTCTGACCTAAGTTTCCTTGCCAAGGCATTTGCATTGAACATGAACACAAATGTGTAAGTTAGACATATTGCTGTGTCTTTTTGCCAGAATTTTAGCAGAAAGGTTATATTCGGTCTCACTAGTTGAAAACACAAATAATTCCAGGATTGCACTAATAACATTCAAGGGGGGTAAATCTGCTTTCTCACAGAAATTTAGGCAATGCTAGAGTAATTTAATTCATAAATGGCTCCTGGTTGTGATTGCATTAGGGCTGTGAAATGTACCACAATGAAATGGCAATGACTGTCTGCTAAAACAAGGAAGGTGGGGATATGGCCTTTCTTGGTATTTATATTACATCATGATGAAAAATATGTGATCTTTAAGTTGTTACACAACAAATAGAGCCTTGGTCAAAATTTCACAGGGAAAGTAGTTGAAATTTTGTACTTTCGATGTTTTATATTAATTTTGATTATTATAATTTTTTGATTAATTTTCCTTGGGGATATCAGGACAGTATGATGGTACCTTGGGATGGTGTTATATGATGTTGATGGGGTGAGGAGAACACAGATTAGTCGGTTCTGTCCAATAAGCCCCTCTCTCCATAAGGAGAGTATTCTCAGGTAACTGTTATAATAGAAATGTCTCTATTTTCAATCTTTAAGCATTTTGAGATTTTTTTTACTTGATGCTGGTGAATTTAATTTCCTACTTTAAGTTTGTGTAATCATGCCTAGTACTCCTCTTCTCCCTCCCCCATTTTTTAAAAGACTTTGAGTCACAACTTTGCCAGCCTAATCAGACTAGTATGGGCATCACATTGTCTAAAAGGTGCTGCCCTGCTGGGATTTACATTATGGCTCTTTTTGCCACCCTGTCTGCTATTGGTTAAAGAGCTAGCAAGCCTGGGTGGGGCGCGGTGGCTCACGCCTGTAATCCCAGCACTTTGGGAGGCCGAGGCGGGCAGATCACGAGGTCAGGAGATCGAGAGCATCCTGGTTAACATGGTGAAACCCTGTCTCTACTAAAAAATACAACAAAAATTAGCCTGGCTTGGTGGTGTGCGCTGTAGTCCCAGCTACTGGGGAGGCTGAGGCAGGAGAATGGCGTGAACCCGGGAGGCGGAGCTTGTAGCGAGCCGAGATCGTGCCACTGCACTCCAGCCTGGGTGACAGAGCCAGACCCCATCTCAAAAAAAAAAAAAAAAAAAAAGCTAGCAAGACTGTAGGAGAACTGGCCAGAAAAATAGAAGAGAAATAAAACACAGTAAAACTAGTTTGACTGTCCAACTTAAAAAGATAGACTCCGAACTAAATATTTTGTGTGTAATGGGACAATATTTTGATGATACTAGGGCAATGTGCAGCATTTTTTTTTTTCACGGTGAGCTCTTGTTCCAGGTTGGCTTGTGCCTTTCATAACTAGTGTCAGTCCTAGACAATTAGAACAAAGGGAGTAGAAAGAACTCAGGATATGACATAGGGGACATACAGCCGTTAGAAAATAGAAGATGTGGGTGGAGATGAGTCAGAAATATCCAGATAGACATGAAAGAATTTAAAAATATGGTGGGAGGATGTAGAGAGGAGACAGTCACCAGCAACCTTGGGGATAGTAGAGGAAGGTCATATGCTTTCAGGAGAAGTCTCCTCACAAGGCTACTTTCAATATGGTGTAGGGTTATACACAGCAGTGATGACTGGGGAGGAAATAAATAGGTGAAAGACAGGGCTGTCTGTAGCTATGTCAGGTAATCAATCCAGAAGTTTCTGTGAGCCTCGCTGAGGGGACACTGAGGAGCTGAGAGACAGCACTGTGTTTAGGGGCTTTCCAAACAGGGACATATGACCAGAACCATGGATTCCAGTTTTCAACAGCAGCACCTTGCTCTAGATGGGGCCAATAACACCTCAACAGTGATCAGTCCAAGTATCAGAATAGATCGGACGCTTCCCAGTAAAGATAAGAGAGGATCCAAGGACACCTGCTGGAACTTACGCCTTTTCTCTCTGCTTTGAGAGTATGCAAAGAAGCCTTGTCATCAGATCCAGAAATCATCTCAGGATAAAGAACAGGGAGGGTTCAGGACACTATAAGATGAAACACTCACCTAAAGTAAAAGAGCAGCCAGAAATACGGAAAACTTTAAGCCATCTCTAAGAGGAAGGTGAACTTAAAATATATCCAACATTTTATGTGAAAAGAGATTAAAGTGGAAAAAAGATTGAGATATTGTAAATTTCCAGTTCTAGGTTTCCCAGCTACCTAGAGAGCTGTGGGAGGGGAATTCGTGAGAAAGAACAGATCATGAGACAAAGAACTTATACTTTCTTTGAATATTTTAGTGTAATATGCAAACTTTTGACTCTACCAGATGTTTATGGTTAGGGTTGTACCTAATTTTTTTTTAATTGGTGGATAATATATACGTGTGTGTGTGTGTGTGTGTGTGTATACATTCACAGCTCTCTTCATGTGCATTTCATGACTTCCAAAGAATACAGAAACTCTTATCAAGACACAAAACATTTCCACTACTCAAGAAAGTTTCTTCATGCCCCTCCTCAGTGAACTACTGTACCCTCTTATCTGAGGCACTGATCTATTTCTCATCATTACAAAAAATGTTATCATTTCATTTAAGTGAATCACACACTTTGTACTCTTGTGTGTCTGACTTCTTTTGCTTAGCAAAATGTTTTTGAGCTCTATCCATGTTATTGTGTATATAAATAGTTCATTCCTTTTTTATTGCTGAGTAATATTCCATTAATTGATGTTTGAGTTGTTTCCATTTTAGACTATTACGAATAAAGTTACTATGAACATTCTTAAACAAACATTTGTATGGACATTTGTTTTTATTTCTCTTGGGTAAATACCTAGAAGCGAAATTGCTAGATATAGAGTCAGTATACATTTGGCTTTATAGAAAACTGACAAACAATTTTCCAAACTGGTTTTACCACTTTATACTCCCACAGGTAATATATGAGGGTTATTGCTGTTCTATATCCTCACTAGTATTTGGTGTTGTCAACATTCTTATTTACAGCCATTCTAATGTGTGTGCAGTGGTATCTTATTGTGGTTTTGACTTGTAATTTCCTCACGACTAATGATGTAGAGCAATTTTTTATGTTCTTTTTGGCCATTCATATATCATCCTTTGTGAAATGTCTGTTTAATTCTTTTGCCTATTTCTTTAAACTGTGTGATTTGACATCCATAGGAGTGTGCTGCTCAGATCTCCTTTGAGAAAGCTTATTTTGGGAAATATAATTGATTGACAGTTCCCCATTGCTGCTTTCAACCAGTGCCTAAGCACTGGGGAATGTGAGTCTAACCTATGCCCACCTAACAAGGATTCCTCTAAAGGGCAACTTTTGCTTAAAGATTATTCATCAGCCTGATTAAAATATTCTGAGAGTGTGTTGCAATTTGAGGCTCTTCCTAGACAATTTTTCTTTCTTTCTTATCTTGGACAGGTATCAGAATTGCCCTGGGGTTAGATGTCTTTCCTTGTTTGTGTGCCACTACTCCCCCACCAGTTTATCTTCACAGATACTTCAACCAGTACATCTCTAGCACTTCTAATCCTATTTTGGCATCTGGAGACACACTTCGTTTTTGTTGTTGTTATTGACTTGTATGAATTCTTTTTATACTCTGGATACAAGTCCTTTGTCGGAATCTGTATTGTAAATATTTCCTTCCGGTTTGCATGTTAATTTTCTTAACAATGACTTTTTATGAGCAGCAAGTTTAATTTTGATAAATACAACTTATTGATGTTTTCTTTGATGGTTCGTGCTTTTGGCATTTTAAGTTATTAAATTTATTGGCATGATGTTCATAATATTTCATTATTTGTAGAATCTACGGTGATGTCTTTCCTTTGTTCTGATATTGGTAATCTCTTTTATTGAAGATCATATTTTCTTGATATTGGATATTAGTATTTTTTTCTGGATTAATCTACCTAGGGGTTTATCAACTTTATTTATTTCAAATAATATATTTTTGCAGTTAGTGATTTTCTCTATTATTTAACCATCTCCTATTTCGTGGATTTCCATTTTTCTTTATTATTTCATTCTTTCACTCGCTTTAATTTTCTTTCTTTGAGTTTCTTAGAATGAAATTCTAGAGCTTTAATTATCAACTTTTTATATTTTATAATGTATTCATTTAAAGCTATACATTTCCCTCTAAGCAATGCTTTATCTCTATTCTGCAAATGTTGGTAAGTTGTGTTTTTCATATCATTCAGTTCAATATACTTTCTCATTTCCCTTGTGACATCTTTGACTCATGGCTTGTTTAGGAAGTGTGTTGAATTCCCAAATATTTGAATATTTTTCAGATGTCTATCATACTTAATTTATTGCCTTTTATTTATACCCATTTAAAATAATTTTTTTTATCATTTCACAGAAACGTAAGAAACTTGTAATAAATATAATTACATTTACCATTCCATCATTTCTGCTACTGTTGTCATATCTTTTACATCTACATATGTGTTAAAACCCACAATATACTGTCATCTTTCTTTCTTTTTCTTTTTTTTTTTTTTTTTTTTTGAGACAGAGTCTCACTCTGTCACTCAGGCTGGAGCGCAGTGGTGTGATCTCTGCTCACTTCAACCTCGTCTCCTGGGTTCAAGCGATTCTCCTGCCTCAGCCTCCTGAGCAGCTGGGATTACAGGCGCCTGCCACTACGCCCAGCTAATTTTTTGTATTTTTAGTAGAGACGGGGTTTCACCATGTTGGCCAGGCTGGTCTCGAACTCCTGACCTCAGGTGATCCATGTGCCTTGGCCTCCCAAAGTGCTGGGATTATAGCCTTGAGCCACCGATTATCTTTCTTTTAAAAAGCATCTTAAAGCAATTCAAAGAAAAAGTAGTGTTTTGTATTTATCGACATATTTATCATTTACAATGCTTTTCATTTCTTCTTGTAGGTTTGCATTTCAATTTGGCATTAGCTTGAAATCTTTTTAACATTTTTTTTGTAGTGCATACCTACTGGCACCATATTTTCCTAGCTCTAACTTACCTGAAGATGTCTTTATCTCATCTTTATTTCTGAAGCATATCTAATTTTAGATTAGTAGGTTTTGTTCTGTTTTAGTTTTAGTAGTTTAAATATACCTTTTTCTTATTTTCTGGCTTCTATTATTTCTGATGTGAAGTCACCAGTGAATCTTATCATTGTTACCTTCTAAATAATGTTATTTTATTCTCATTGCTGTTAAGATTTTTATTTATCTTTGATTTTCAGAAATTTGACTATTTTGTCCTAGGTATGTTTGTTGTGTGTGTGTTTATTCTTCCAGGTATTCACTGAATTTCCTGGATCTGTGGTTGATATTTTCATTTGCTTTTGTAAAATTTTTGGCCATTTAAAAAAATTTATTTTTCTTCCCTTAGATTCTTCTAAGACTCCAAGTATACTTACAATAAGAATCCACTTGATATTTTCCCACAGATTACAGAGGATCCATTTTTTTAAAGTATTTTTCACTCTTAGTTATTCAGTTTGGATGTTTTCTGTTAATCTCTCATCAAGCTTGCTGATCTTTCCTTCTGTAGTATTTAATAAGTTATGAAGGTCATTCAGTAAACTTTTCAATTAAATTTTAATTACAGATGCTGTATTCTTTATTTCTAGAATTTTATTTTCCTTTAGCTCCCTTTAAAAAAATAATTATTTTGATTGGCTGAGGTTCCTCATCTGTTTATTCATCATGCTCATCTTGTACTTTACAGCTTTGAGTACATTTATTCTAGCTACTTTAAAGTCCATATCTACTCAATCCAATATATGTGTAGTCTATTTTCTTTTTCTGTTTACTTTTCCCCTCCCTTCATTTATGGTTTATATCTTCTTGATCCTCTACATGGCTAGTAAGTTTTGATTATTTAGATTTTGTGGTTTCTACATTGTTGACAGTCTGGGTTTTGCTGTTTCCCTTTATAGCTTCTATCAGCCTCTCCCTTCCTCCCTTCCTCCCTCCCTCTCTTTCTCTCTCCCTCTGTGTGTGTGTGTGTGTGTGTGTGTCTGTGTGTCTGTCTGCAATTCAGCTAATTCACACACAAGCAGATCAGCTTGGTCTTGTCAAGGCTTGATGTTAGTTCAGATGCATCAGGCTTTCAATTAATCCTTACTCCATGATTAAAGTAGTAGCACTGCCCCCAACACGTATCTTTTCTGAAGACTTACATTCATGGCAGAGGTGTTCACTGAGGACAATCTACTCTGGAAATCTGATCTCCGTTTGTACTGTGTGACCTCTGTGATCGCTCATCAGCTGACAGTTTGCGTGTAGTTATTCCATGCCAGTCTTTGTTGAATCTTGCTTTTTTTTTTTTTTTTTTTGGCAAAACTCTGTCACCCAGGCTGGAGTGCAGTGGCACAATCTGGGCTTACTGCAACCTCTGCCTCCCAAGTTCAAGTGATTCTCCTGCCTCAGGCTCCTGAGTAGCTGGGATTACAGGCACGGGCCACCATGCCTCGCTGATCTTTGTATTTTTTTTTTTTTTTTAGTAGAGATGGGTTTCACCATGTTGGTCAGGCAGATCTCAAACCCCTGACCTTAGGTGATCCGCCCACCTCAGACTCCCAAAGTGCTGGGATTACAGGTGTGAGCCACTGTGCCCGACCAAATCTTGCCATATTCACATACAGATTAGTATCTGGGCAAAGACTTAAAGAGATTCAATGGAAATTTCTGGAGGTCTTTTTGGTACAGTTCTCTTATTTCTAGTACCTTGCCTTATAAATTCTAGCTGCCACAGCAGTCTGAATTCTGATCTCTGTTTCCTTTCTCTAGGGATACTGATGCTTTCAGTTTGGGGTCTACTTATATGAAATATTTTAAAATATTCTCATGTAGGAACACAATATGAATGTGGAGCTTACCTGTGTGTGTCCTGCTCTCAAGATTATAGTTTTGCACTCTTTTTTGTCCAGTGCCTGCAAATGATTTCTTCATGTACTTTTATCTTCTTTCAGAGTTGCTTACAATGATAAGTAAGTGTAAGAATGATGCACGTTAATTCAACATGGCTAAAGTCCATGACTATTGTAAAAGTTTACAAGAAAGTATTGCCATATCTATCTATCTATACAGATACATATGCATATATGTTATATGCATATAATAGGTATGCACACTATATACATAATACAGTATGTGATATGCATATATGTATGTATGATATATATGTTTATTCACATACATACACATATGTATACCAATGCATTGTTTTACACTTCCCTCAATGTATTCTTTCAGAAAGATGTTTCAAGGGGGTCCTATTTATTCTTCACCCAACTTGAACCAAGCTGTAGAAGTAAAAGATTAAAATTCTTTGTTTGGGAGAATTTTTCGTTGATGCCTTCATGACTATGGGATAATATCTAAACCCCTGACAGATTTATGTTGAGCAATCCTCACACTCTGGCCTCATTTCCTGCCATTTCATATTCCACTCTAGTCCCCGTACCATTTATGGCCCCCAGTGATCTACTTGTGATTTCCTAAATATATCATCCTCTTTCACACCTCCATGTCTTGCATATGCCATTCTCTCTGCCTGGAATGCCTTTTATTCCTTCTGTTCTTTCTTTTTTTTTTCTTTAGAAAGCTCTTTCACCTTTTCTGCAAAGGTTGTCTATTCTCCACCAGAAATACTAATTATACTTTCTAAATTCTTCCTCTGCTATTTCATATATCTCAGTGAATTGAAAGTATATTTTAATGTATCAACATCCCTACTTCCCATCCCTATTATACTATAAAATTACAACAGGACCATGTCTTATTCATTGGTGTATCCTCACCACATTCATACTATCTGGCACATAGTAGGTTCCCAATGAGTGTTTCTAATTAGATGAATTAATTAATATGCGTGAAATGAAAAATAGATATTTCTATTTTCTAATGGTAATACTCCTAACCCCTAGATGGTAGGATCTAAAGTCCAAGTCACATGTTTCCCATGCTGTCCAACATCTACCCTGCCTCCTGGTTGCAGATCTGAATTGTGTTATTTCTCAAAGGCCATTAAGAAGTCTTCAGAGAAAGCACATGAAATTACCTCCAGTGCTGGTTTGCAATAATGTCCTTTTGTTCTCAGATAGTCTCCAGTTGACAGCTATCAAGGTTGTTCTAATTTGTGTCAAACCGGCCATCTACAGGGAACATTTTGGAATGGGGAAGGTTCAGGAGACAGAAAAAAAGTAATGAATATAAAGTGTAAATGCCATAGTAAAGTAATAGAGACATATAATAACAGCAAGGGAAATTTGACCTTCTGGCCGAAAACTCGATCGTGAACCAATTGGAGAACTTTAGAAAATTGGATCAGCCTCAATAGTCACAGAGTAAACATGGGAAGTGCAATCCAGTCTTATTAAACATAATGCACACTTAATGCATAATTTTATTGCAACCAATTTCATGCTACTGCTTTAAATGAAGCTGGGTTTACTTCCATTGCACCAGTCCACTACCATTAGTGCCTCTTAAGAGAACGGCAAGGCCAGTAAACTGTTACTGGGCTGATCTCTTCCTCAGCCCATACTTTCTGCTTCATAAATTCACCCTGCTCCCACAGCTTGTACAGAAATCTTGTCTCCATTCAGTACATGGCTTTTGAAACACTACACTGTTTTGGCAAGTTGTTTGCATACGGGAATGTTATAGCATTTCCATTTATACCAGTACGTAAGGCACTGAACCTTTGCCTTGGGAGAATGTTTGTCTGAATCCCAGACCTAAGAGCTGGGGTTCTTATTATCTGTAAATTCAGTCTGGGGAAAACCTAACGTCTGCATTGTGATAAGAAAGGAGATGTGATTCTGAATCAAAAAGAGAGAGACTAAAACTCATAAGATGCATCTTGTCTATATCTTGAGGCTTGGCTTACTTTTTTCTGTCCATGTTAATTTTGGACTATATGCCCTCAAATTCTGTTTGACTTCCTCTGAGGTCTAGTCTTCGCATATCTGAATATGAATAGGATAAGGTGAGGTGCTGAAAAAGATAAAATCTAGAGCCTGATGCCTGACTTTGAAGTCTTGGTTCTGCTACTACCTGTGTGAGCTTGGCACATCACTGTACCTCTCTTAAGCTCAATGTTTTCATCCATAAAATGAGGTTCCTAGTCATCTTGTGATGAGGGCAGACTGAAAAAGCACTTTATAAGCCTGAAGATGGTTGCATATATTATTGTAATTAAAGAAAAGCATCAAATGTGATAAATTATGAGCAAACCAAATTCTGTCAAAGCCACAATTATTTCTAAAACTTAATAGGCATTAAAAGTCTAAAGATATCAAAAACACATTGCATATATTTTAAATCTCTCACAAAATTCTGAATTCCCTTCTTCAAAAAAACAAAATCTAAATAAAAATTTTGTATTGAAACAAAATTTCTGAAAATATTTTCCAGCTGCTATGGGATGAGAAAGCAAATCGTACCAAAGCCTATGAAGACATCAGTAGCAGAAGGTCTTCACAGATCTCTGGGGCTCTTTAAATCCTGAACAATGCCTTGCTTTCCCCTTGAACAACTCACTCCCCACAGGACTCCCTTGAAAGTGCCTGCTCTTCGGAACCAGGAAGAGCTCTGACACTGGGGTTTGTAGTGGCCTCATAAGGGGCGCTCTTGAGGTGGCCACAGGAGATCCAGAAAGAAAATTACTGATCTGCATTCTGAATTTTGGATTCATCTATATTTCAAAGAACATCTATAAAAGAACGCAACTGCTCCCAGATAGTTAAATGCTAACCCCAGCCAAAGTTTTCTACAATTCCCAAAATCTAACTAGTGTTATAAAGGGGAACCATGTTCCAGTTGTACATCATGAAATGGCTGCTCAAAAACATTAATAGAAGTCATTTCAACATAGAATAGAGTTGGAGGCTGTGTCACTGTGGAAACTGAGCCTAATTTGGGGAGTGGGTATAGGCAATAGTCCTTCTACCCCTAATATAACAACATTCTTATATTATTTTTTTAAATCCCTTATATGTGTATCAAAAAGAAAACAAATTTTTCTACCAAAAAGACATATGCATGTGTATGTTTATCACAGCATTACTCACAATATCAAAGACATGAAATCAACCTAGGTGCCCAGCAATTGTGTATTGGATACACAGAATATACATATATACCATGGAATACTACGCAGTCATTAAAAAGAACAAGATTATATCCTTTGGAGCAACATGGATGGAGCTAGAGACCATTATTCCAAGCAAATTAATGCAGGAGCAGAAAAACAAATACTACATGTTCTCATTTGTAAGTGGGAACTAAATATTGGGTCCTCATGGATATAAAGATGGCAACAATAGACACTGTTAGAACTAATAGAGTGGGGAGGGAGTGGGGCAAGGTTTTAAAAATGAACTGTTGGATACTATGCTCACTATCTAGGTGACAGGATCATTCATATCCCAAACCTCAGCAGCATGCAATATACCCATGTAACAAACCTGCTCTGAATCTAAAATGAAAGTTGAAATTATTTTGAGAAAATTCCCTTATATGTGTACTCTGTCCAGTTCCAAATGGAATTAGAGGTTCATTGATTCATTTACCAACAAACATCAACTGAGTCCAGGATACTGTTGGCTAGCCCTGTGCTATGCATGAGGGTTACAGAGATGATACTGCACTAAAGAATTGAAAATCTATCAGTGAGATAATACAGACATGAAAGCAGCATACAACAAGATAGGGTGAAATAAGGGCCACAAGACAGATAAAATTCAAGGTTAGAGAAATTCAAAGAGAGAGATAGAGGCCATCCCCATCAAACAAATATTTATTTTATACTGTATCAAATTTAGTTGTTATTAATTGATCATGATTATAACAATCTTTAAAATCCTTTCCAGATTTGAATTATAATTTAAAAAAATCTGTGCAGCACACATCACCTGGTCTTGGGCACATGGAGTATCTGTCCAAATGTAATGTACAGCATCTATGGTTCAAAAGCTCAATGTTAATACGTTAGTAATGATGTTACACCTGATGGGGACAGCATAAGATATCCCCTGCTACCTGTTGGTAGGTTGAAAGGATCTATCAAATCTGGAGTTTTAATGAACCTAATCTTTACTGGCAAAGTAGCTAACTTGCCTCCTGGAACTTTTTCTGCAAAATTGTTAGTTATTGTCCTGCTCACTTTACTACTTCTTCTCCTCCTCCTCCTTCTCCTCCTTCTCCTCTTTTTCTTCCTCTAATTCCTCCCTCTTCTCCTTCTTATTCTTCCTGTCCTTCCCCCTCCTCTCCCCTCTTGCTTCTCTTCCCCTTTCTTTTCCTCCACTTTAACATTTTAAAATTGAGGTGTAATCCACATAACAGATGAATGATATGTGAAACTCATCATTTTAAAATTTACAATTCAGTGTTTTTAGTGTATTAATAACACAGTTGTGAAACTATCAGCTCTATCTAGTTTCAGAACACTTTTTTCCTCACCACACCCTCCCCCATAAAAAAAAAGCCCATAGCTTTTAACTATCACTCTCTAAGCTCCTCATCTCTGCCCTAAACAAAAACTAATTTGTCTTTATGGATTTCCCTATTCTGGAGATTTGTATCAGTAGAATCACACATTCACACATTGCATGTTTTTTTTTTTTTTCTCTGTCTGATTTTTTCACTTAGCATAGTATTTTCAAGGCTTATCCATATTGTAGCAGGTATCAGCACTTCATCTCTTTGTATGGCTGAATAAAATATATCACAATTTGATTATCCATTTATCAGTTGAAGGACATTTGGATTATTTCCACTCTTTGCCTATTGTGAATAATGCTTCTATAACCATTTGTGTACAGCTTTTTGTATGAACATATGTTTTTTATTTATCTTGGTTATATACCTATGAGTTGAATCACTGAGTTGTATGGCAACTCTACGTTTAACCTTTTGAGAAACTACCAGACTGTTTTTCAAAGCAGCCATATCTTTTTGCATTCTCATCAGTGATGTAAGAGGATTCCAGTTTCTACTCATCTTCAATGCTTGTTCCTGTCTGTCATTTAAATTAAAGCCATCCTAATGGGTATGAAGTTGTATTTATCTGTAGCTTTGATTTGCATTTCCTTAATGGCTAATGATGAACATTTTTACATGTGGCTTATTATCTATTTGTATATCTTCATTGGAGAAATGTCTATTGGAATCTTTTGTCAATTTTTTAATAGGGCTTTTGTTTTTATTATTGAGTTCTAAAACTTCTTTCTATATTGTAGATACAACTATCCTTTCAGATATATGATTTGCAAAAATCTTCTAATCTGTGAATTGTCTTTTCACATACTTAATGGTGTTCTTTAAAGCAGAAATATTTTTCATTTTGATAAAGTCCACTTTATTTTTTTCTTCAGTTGCTTGTGCTTTTGGTATCATACCTAATAAGACTTGCTTAATTCAAGGTCATGAAGATTAACTCTCATATTTTCTTCTAAGAGTTTTATAGCTTTAGCCTTTACATTTAGGTCTTTTGCCCATTCGGAGTTAATTTTTGCACAGTACATGGTGTGATATAGGAGTCCAACTTTATTCTTCTGCATGCAGATATCCAGTTTATCCAGGAGCATTTGTTTAAAAGACTATTCTTTTATTTTTAAATGTCTTGGCATCCTTATCAAACTGCATTTTATATCTTGATCAACACAGGATATACTCACATAAGAGACTTGGGAGAAAGCTACCATGCCATTCTAGATGAGGAATCTGGTCATCCAGCTAATCCTGGTAATTGTATTATATTGGTGCAAAAAAGTAACTTGTGGGTTTTGCCATGACTTTCAATGGCAAGAACTGCAATTACTTTTGCACCAGCCTAATACATTTGTTATCAGATTGGAGAAATAATGACTAAGCAAGAAGTAATAAGCAAAAAAAAAAAGTATGGTAGTTCTCTGTGAGTGGGTCCAAGTTTTTGTTACATTATCCACTTTAATACTAAGCATATGCTATAGACTAGAGGTTGGCATGTAGCAAAAATCTTAGTGAGACCTGAAGTAGCATGCAGAGCTTGTGTTCCCAGCAAGAAAGAGTTCTATGAGTTTTTTGGGATTGTGTGAGCAGTACTAATTTCAGAGACATTGTAAGTGGAGAAAAGAAGGGAGGAGACTTCTCTCTTTCTTAGCATCCATGGTCGAACAAGATAGGCATTCACGGACTGAAATGACCTGTCATCCCTATGTGGTCTACAGATTTAATGTTATTTTATATGCTGATTTTAACATGACAATTGCCACAAATGTATCTTTTGTTAATTATTTCTTATTTATTTTTTTATTATTATACTTTAAGTTCTAGGGTACATATGCACAACGTGCAGGTTTGATATATAGGTATCTTTATATACTCTTGTATAAAGATTAACTAGCAAAGGGACATAGGCAAGACCCCACTCGTTCTGCATGACAGACATTCTCAGGAATGCTAGCAGGAAGTCTTCTGAAAGTAAGGTTATGTGTGTGGCTGATGAAACTCAAGGTATGTCCCTGGACTTTGGAAAAGCTGATTTAAGAATTTCAGAGAATGACTAGCTATGTTTCTACAACACGCCACTTGGAGCAGGGAAAGTGGAAAGAGAAGGTGAAGCAACAATCAAACAGGCAGCTCTGACTGTAAACCTATAGAGGATCTCAAGAGAGAAGGAGTCCAGGAGTAAAAAGGTCTGTAGCAAAGATAGAATAAAGACCATATATCAAAGGACAACATGACAAATGATTGTAGAGAAAATTCAGGATGTAGTGAAACTGTTAGAAAGTATGAAGAAGACTAGAAAAGGTTAAGCAAACATGACTGGAGGAAATCAAAGCCTAGCCATGGTTTCCACTGTGCTCCACATCATGTATCTGCTTTCACATCCTTACCTCCCACTAATGCATCATCCACCCACAATATGGTCTGGCCCCACCACCTTCTATAAAATTGCTCTATCAATGATCACCAGGGACCAACACAATTCAAAACCTTGCTTTTTTTTCAGTGCAAACTTCACTCATCTTCTCCATCATGTTGAAGAGATCAAACATTTCTGCATTTTGACACTCCTCTCTTTGGTCATTTGCTTCCTCCTTCCTCCCTGATTGCACCCTCTCTTTTTCCATCTCCCAGTCCTTTGAAGTCAGCATTTCAGCAAGTCCTACAATTCACTCACACTCTAATGAATCTTGTATAGTTTGTCCTATAATGAACTCATTATGTTTCCTCAAAGATTGTCATCTTCCTCCAGCATTGATTGTTACTATAAATGCCAAGCTGGTCTCCCAGAGTCAGCTTCTCCCTTCCCCATTCTCTCTAGGTTCATTCTCACTGGGATCTTTCTCCATCACATATGTGACCATCACTCTCTAGTGCCTTCACTGATTCCCCATTGTTGACAGGATCAAGCCTAACACAAGGCTCCATTTCTGTTTCTGTGTCTTTAGGACAAGTTTCTTGGTTCTTAAGGTCTGGGCCCCACTGTGGACTGCGGCTTTGGGATTTTCTCATGATCTCCCTACTCTGGTCCTGGTTGCCTTCTCATGACCCTAGTTCTTGGATCATGAATAAAGCCATTGACTCTCCATTCCATCATTGCATATGAAATATTATCCAATGGCTCACACTGCTTATCAGGTATTCCGTGATTTGGCCCAGGTGACTTTGTCAATATGCTATTTATTCTCTCTCACACACATACATGCACACACACAAATATCCCTTTCAGTTGACTTGAAAATCATTATTTACCCAAACATACCCAAACCATGGTAAACCATTATTTACCCAAAATACCTTTGCTTGTATTAAACATGCATACATGTGCACATGTAAACACACACATAGCTATACATAGCTAAATACATAATGATAACTTAGCTTTGCTAGGTGTGAAAAAGGCTTTCAACAGTGGTCCCTAACCTTTTTGGCACTAGGGACCAGTTTTCTGAAAGAGAATTTTTCCATGGATCAGTATGGGGGGATGGTTTTGGGATTATTCAAAGCAAATAGACCAGGAGGGCCAGGGGACAGTAGACAGTGTAATTCGGCTGAGAGTCTGGGAGATTCAAAGGAGGGTCAGGGAGCTGGGGGAGCTACTTAATGAGTGAGAAGCTATAACAGTGATATGTGCACTCCTTGGACTCTGTCTTACTCCCTTTGGGCTGCTATAATAAAATATTATAGACTGGGTACCTCATAAACAACAGAAATTTATTTCTCATAGTTCTAGGTGCTGGAAATTCCATAATAAAAACATAGGCAGATTTGAGGTCTGGCAAAGACCCATTTTCTGGCTCATAGATGGCAACTTTTTGCTGTGTCCTCACATAATGAAAAGGAGAAACACATTCCCTTAGGCCCAAGACCCAAGAGCCCTAATCCCATTCCTAATCACTATCCACAAAGCTTCACCTCCTAATACCATCACCTTGGAGGCCAAGATTTCAACATGTGAATTTTAAGGGTACATAAACATTCAAACCATAACCTCTGGTAAAACCAGCTTTCAAACTTCAACCTTTAAATTTCATGTTTATGTTCAGCATACTAAACATGGCAGCATTACTAGAACCTGACTTTTTCTGCTCAGGGAATCTGTTCTAGAGCTTCTCAGTGGGTCCTCCAAGAGGGCCTCAGATGGGTATTGCACCAGAAGCTCTCCCTACCCAGCCTGTCTGCTTCCCAGAGAACCTGAATTGACATAGACTAAAAAGCTAGAGAAAAACAGGAGTCAGGCCATTGCCCCATTATAGTAATAAATAGGTCTTAGGCAACACTTATATGCCAGACACTGTTCTAGAAACTTTGTGTATATGAACTAATTTAATTCTCAAGACACTGGGAGTGAGTACTACTATTAGGACCAGTTATAGGTGAAGATCCAGAGAAAAATACAGAACCACTTTAAAGTCTCACAGCTAGCAATTCATGGAGCCAGAATTTGTATCTACGCAGTCTGAAATACAGTTGGTGTTCATAACCCTTATGCTCTTTTCAGGCAACCTGCTTAAGGGGATTATAGACAAACTTGAAAAACAAAGGAACAAGTCCTTGTAAAGTGTTTGAGTGATATGTGGGGTAGCTTTCCTGACCTCTCTCCCCACCCCACCTTCTGCACTCTGCTCCATCCACATTGGCCTTCCTTCCTTGCCCAGAACTCTCTGGGCTCTTTTCCTTCAAGGCCTTCACAGCAGCAATTTTCTTAGCTTGGAACTCCCTTTTCACACTCATCTAACTTCACTGGACCAAGGTCTGCTCGATTACCACATTCTTGGGGAACTCTCTTCTGACCCCAAGCCTATGTTTGATCCCTTTGTTACATTCATGTATGGCATCTAGTTCTTTTCTTTTAGAACTCCCATTACAACTTCAATGAAGTAACTAATTCTGCAATGACTTATTTGATGCTTGTCCCTTTTCACAGGCTTGCCATTTGTTTTGCTTTCCAGGGTATCCCCAAGTCCAGCCCCAGGCAGGTGTGAATATATTGGCTGGATGAATCTATCCTAGCAGCCTGGGTCTCAGATGAGTAGGAGAGAGGGTAGACAGAGGCCAACAGCAAACATGTATCCATTCTTATTTAAAAAATGTGTTTGAAAATGAGGTCAGGATGGTCTAGATGGGCATTGAGTGTGCCATCGCCAGAGGTATAGAGAGGATAGTGGACACTTGGTGGGGATTTTGTAAGAGAGTCAGTATAACAGGTTTGATTACAGAGCCAGATGTATAGTACTCACGTTGCTATAAACAAACACCGGAGACTGGATAATTTATCAAGAAAAGAGGTTTGATCGGCTCACAGTTCTCCAGGCCGCAGAGGAAACACGGTGCCAGCATTTGCTTGGCTTCTGGAAAGGCCTCAATGCTTGAGGAGCTTTTACTCATGGTGGGAAGTACAACAGGAGCAGGCACGTCACATGGAGAAAATAGGAGGAAGAGAGAGATGGGGAGATGCCACACAATTTTTTTTTTTTTTACTACGGAGTCTCACTTTGTCGCCCAGGCTGGAGCACAGTGGTGCGATCTCAGCTCACTGCAGCCTCTGCCTCCTGGGTTCAAGCGATTCTCCTGCCCCAGCCGCCTGAGTAGCTGGGACTACAGGCAGATGCCACCATGACCGGCTAATTTTTTTTATTTTTTTATTTTTATTTTTTTATTTTTTAATTTTTTTAGTAGAGACGGGGTTTCACCGTGTTAGCCAGGATGGGTCTTGATCTCCTGACCTCATGATCCTCCCACCTTGGCCTCCCAAAGTGCCGGGATTACAGGTGTGAGCCACCGTGCCCGGCCTGCCACACACTTTTAAACAACCAGATCTTACGAGAACTCACTATTGCAAGGACAGCATCAAGAGGATGATGCTAAACCATTCATAAGAAATCCATCCCCATGAGCCATTCACTTCCCATCTCCAACATTGCAGATTACAATTTGACATGAGATTTAGAGGGGACACATGTCCAAACTATATCACCCTTCTATTTCTGAGAGTCCCTGAGTGACTTCTCCAAGGCTGCATCATCCACGGGTGCCCTGCCATCACCCAGAGAATGTGATATTTGGTCCTTATAAATGAGACAGCACAGTGTAGCGAAATAGCTAGCTGCAGAAAATAAAGCATTTTCTATGGTTTTGGTTTGGTCTTTATTCTTGCACTGCTGAAAATAAGGCCCATCTTTCCCACACCACCTGTCCTGTTTTCTTAACTGAGAAATTAGGAGCTAGACTAGATCATCTCTAAGGTCCTTTAATTCCAAGAATTACAGGCCATATTTCTTAAGATGATTGTTCCACCCTCTCAGATTCCCACCCTCTTTCATGTCATAGGCTTTTATCCTTCCTTATCAGTAATCAACACAATGGAAACATGACCCTTGGGGAACAGCACAGCACATATTGAATATTCTTGCCTCCATATAGCTATCGCTTGAAAGAATTACACCGAGAAAAAATAAATTTTCTACAAGACTTTGAATTTCATAAAACTGTTCCATAAAAAGTAGGTCTTTTATTTCTCCCAAGAATTGTGTGACACAGGTGTGATATTATTTCCACTTTACTGATGATGAAACTGAGGTTCAAGGGGGAATGAGATAAGCCTAAGGTCTTAGCTGGAAGCATTTCTGGGGCTTGAACCAGCTCTGAAGCTCGGTGATGTTGTCATTACTGCATGTCACCTAATGAGATCAAGTATTAATACAAGGAACACATATTTAAGCAGTATTAGCTGCTTTTTTTGTACACAGTGAATGTGAACATAAACTTGGTCATTGGCTTTGTATATGTAAGCTATCGGGGAATTGAAAATAAATTGTTTCTGAAAACTAATTCATTAACAAGTGTTTATTTGTGAGACTGTTGAACAAGTGAAAAACTCATATATTTTTGGTGTGAGTATACTTAACAAAGGGAAAAAAACCCAAGGACACATGTTTCAATTATCATTAGGCTAAAAATTCCATGTATTTCAGCTTTTATAAGTAGGCACAAAATAATATATATAAATGATGGAGAAGATAAAGAAATTTCAGAAAGAAAATGATTTCGACATCAATCTTTCAAAGAGTTATTAAAGACAGTTTTTTAAAAAAAATCTGAAAAATACCTTTGGTCTTTTCTCTCTTGATGGCTGAACAGATATTATATTAGAATGGAGTTGAGGTGAGGAATATTTTTCTCAAAAAGGCAACATGGTTGAAGAACACAGGCTGTGGCTGGAAGGCAGTGGACTAGGTTTTCATCTTTTATCCCTGGTTTCTGGGATATACTGAGTGAGCCAGTGTTACTTGTCTGGGTCTTTCTTGCTCTATTTGTAAACTGGGAGCAACCTGGCAAATGTTTAGACATAATGGTCAACATAGACACAATTACATTAGTCCTTTTGTGTAAGATTTAAGAAATTTTAAATACTTCCCTATGCATTATCTTATTAATTTTCTCCCAAATCCTTGTAAGGTAGGTAAAAGAGAAATGTGTATGTCCATTGAGTAGATAAGAAAGCTGTGCCTAAGCGAGGTAAATATTCTTGCCCAAGGTTGTAATGCTAGGATGTTGTTGAGCCAGGATTTGACCTCAATCAGGTCCGATGCTCCACTCTGCTATGTTTTTCTCTCCAGCACAAGGCACTGACTGACACAGGCAGGCCAACTGAACAAAAGCTCCATGTTTCCTTTTTAACGTACAACTTTGAGGAAGGATGTGAGGTGCCTGAGCCTGGTGAGAAAGGCATTTATGTGTAAGAGCCCTCTGTGCATTAATGCTGTGAGTGAGAAGTCGAACTAACACCTAATTTTAGTATGCAGCTAGCGCAGTGTGCCTGTTAATCGTATTCAGTCAGGCTGACTGAAGAGGAGAAAGGACTAAAATAAACATTTCACTTAACCTTTACAATTCGTATATTTTGATTGTCCCACCAGCTTTAGAATACCCTTCTCTATGTAATCGCCAGCCATTTTCTATGCTTTACACATACTTGACTCCTTTCTGTCTGTCTTCCCTTCTCCTCCTACCCCTATCATGCTTCCCTATCCCTGTTTTCTACCCCCTGGCACTCCTCACATCGCTGCCTTCAGCCCTGAGTCCCTGTCTAGCCTCTCTTCTCTTACCCTACTTGTGGACAGGAAGCAGGCTCCAGAGGGGCTGAAAGGGACCTCAGACATGATCTACTCGACATTCTGCATGCAAAGACCTCCAGAAAGAAGAGAAGGCATGAAACTCCATAAACCATGGAATAAGGAAGGTGACAACATCTTCAACACACAGGAAACAAAGAAAGAGGAAAAGAAAATAGTGAGGTGAAACAGTAAAGTAAAAGAAAGCTTTTATCCTGACATTCTTACCCCACTTAAGTAAAAACAAACAACAACAACACAATATGATGCAGTCAAAGCTATGAAATTGGAAATACTTTTTGCATTACTGTCTTCAACATGGCAATTACAAATGCAGTGATTAAACAAGAATAATGCAAGGAAGTTGGGGTGAACAAAGCTGTGGAGTTTAATCGACAGGCATTGTCATGGGGCATCTCCTTGGTGGGCAAGTAGGGAGTTATTTTCAGGTTGATCCGAATCAGGAAGTTATATATCCCACTGAAATGTGAGCAACATGAAAATCTCTCTGTTACCACAAGCAGTTGGTGAGAACCCAAGGCCCCTAGAACAGATTTGTGCTGTGCTGTTCAATTTGGTAGCCACTAGTGACATGTGGCTTTTGGGCACATGTAATGTGACCAGTCCAGATTCGGATGTGCTGTAAGTATGAAATATACACCAGATTTTGGAAACTTAGTCTGACAGGGAAAAAAGAATGTAAAACATCCCATTAATGATTTTTGTGTATTGATTACATGCTGATATAATATGTTTGATACTATATATAGTTCCACAAAATATATTATTAAATTAATTTTACCTTTCTTTTTAATGTAGCTACTAGAAAATTTGAAATACGTATGTGGTTTATATTTGCAGTTCTCATTATATTTCTATAGAACAGAACTAGATTAGTTTCAGAGTTGTAATTAGGACCAAACAGAAAGAGAAATCCTATCCAGAATAATAATCAATATACCCAGTCTAGACAACATTGGAGAGTATTTGAGGGAGAAAAGTGTCTTAAGATTATTGTTGATGAAATCTAGATACTCCAAGTGAACTTTGAGCAACTGTAGTTGGAACCAGAGGAAACAGGCCAATGTTAGTAGCCCATGGTAACAGAAACAACCACTTGGTGAGGAAGTTGTATGTGGGAAATCCAGGCCAGGCCAGCCAGAGACTTTTTCCTCTTTTGCCATGTTTGTCTAAGGATATTTTTAGTTTTAGACGAAGAATGGAAAGTTCTCATGAAAAACCCATTGTTATCTGTGTATCACATAAGGCACTGCGTACATTGAATACAACAGGTTATACTTAACAAACTAATTAGTTCTGCACAGACCAGGCCTTCTGTGATGCTCAGTGAATCCTTTTGCAGGCTTCATTAAGCTCCACTTCAAGGACTCTCTTCGGGTATTCCCATGGCTCTCCATCTCAACTTGGTTCTACCTCAGATAAAATTCCACAGACCGGAGTGTCTGAAAAAAGTGAGCTGTCCCTCTTACAGAATGTGGCTTCAACCAGGCCCATCTAAGCAAGAGATGCTTCAGGGCCTATTAACATTCCTGTCCAGTTAAAAGAAATCCCAATTTTTCAAGACCCAGTGTAAAAAAGAGTCTGAATTTAAATAAGATCTTTGCAAACCCAGCATTCCAAAAGGAAATGCACACATCAAGCCATCAGGGTAACCATGTAAGTGCGGTTTACTCCAATAGAGGGGATTTAGTGAGGATTTCAACTACTCCTTCTGTGTCCTAGAGTTACTATTTACAGTGATTGTGGCTATAGACCAAGATGAGTTCCCTTGGGTTTTTAGTTAAAAATATAATAATATTTGTTTTAAACTAATCAAGCAATCTAATACCAGAAACTATTCTCTTCTTGGTCTTTAGTCTTCACTGTTTCCAAATTGCAATATGAGAGTGGAAGATGTGGCCATTTTTAAACCTGGGAGAGAATAGATGACTGTGAGTCTTTTATATGTCTAACATAAACACAAACTAAAGGAAGCTATTACAGAATGAAACCGAAAAGCCAGATCTCAGCTCTCAACTGTGAGATACAACATAAGAGACTAAATTCTTTTAGATTCTCTCTAGAGATACTCAACCGAGATATATATTTTCCTTATAGGTTTAACAGGGGGAATACTCCAGGTAGGGGCTAGTCCCCATCTCTAGGTACTTGCTGTAAGCATATGTATTACAGTTGCCTGATTCAACTATGAGCAAACCCTTGTTTGTACTGACCATTGAAGATGTCTACAACCTATTATTTTTCTGCTTTGTTCTGTTTTTCAAAGGTACAGATACAAACATAAGGTTTTCTAATTATGCTCATCAACATAAATTACTGAGATTTGCCAACTTTCCATTTCATAGGGTTTTTTTTTTTTGTCTGTTTGTTTGTTTGTTTATGAGATAGGTTCTCATTCTGTCACCCAGGCTGGAGTGCAGTGGTACGATTACAACTCACTGAACCTTCAGGGCTCACACAATCCTCTCACCTCAGCCTCCTGAGTAGCAGGAACTACAGGCATGTGCCACCACAGCCGCCTAATTAAAAAAAAAATTTTTTTTTTTTGTAGAGACAGGTTTTTGCCATGTTGCCCAGGCTGGTCTCCAACTCCTAGGCTCAAGGGATCTGCCTGCCTCAGCTTCCCAAAACACTGGGATTACAGGCATGAGTCACCATGCCAGGCCCATTGGACAGTTTTTCACAGAATTCATATCATGTTCTGACCTTAGTATTCAAGTTTCTTATTTGTATTACAGGCAATTGAGTTTCCGATCTCTGCCTTGAAAGCTGTGAGATCTTGGGCAGGTTGTATAGTCATTCCGAGACTTAGTTTTACTTATCTGTAAAATGAGGATAATTGTATTGTGCTCACATGGAGATTGGATGGGTGAGACATGGTCTACATACTCACACACGGGACAATTTTCTCACTTTCTGTAATTGCCTAGCACACATAGTAGAGATGCAAGTCATAGCTGCCGAATAGCCACTTCTTAGACCCACTTCTAAAAGGCTATGTTAAGAGACAGATGCCAGCAACTTCAATTTTCTCCCACAATGATGGGAATGTTATGTGATGTTGCCGCTCATACCAACAGGAACTCTGAGCAGGGGAAATAATACTCAGGAGGGCTTTGGGTTGGTTCCTCTAAGTCAGAAACCCAAGGAATAATTGCTAAAATGTTTTTAGCTCTCAGTGTGTGCTATCTTATCCCAGAGCTTTATTTTACAGGATGTGGGCTGTGTTGGGACCCAGGTTAAAAATAAGACTGTTATTATCTTAATATTGCTCAATTCATTCATCAAAAAATGTATGAAGCACTGGCTGGGCCTAGTGGCTCACACCTGTAATCCCAGCATTTTGGGAGGCCGAGGCAAACGATCACTTGAAGTCAGGAGTTTGAGACCAGCCTGGCCAACATGGTGAAACCCTGTCTCTACTAAAAATACAAAAATTAGCCGGGCGTGGTGGCACATGCCTGTAATCCCAGCTACTCGGAAGGCTGAGGCAGGAGAATTGCTTGAACCTCGGAGGCGGAGGTTGAAGTGAGCTGAGATGGCACCACTGCACCCCAACCCGGGTGATAGAGCAAGACTATCTCAATTAAAAAAAAAATGTATGGAGCTCCTACAGGTGACAAGCAGTGTTCTAGGAACTGAGACTATAGGTGCAAACAAGGCAGGCAATGTCCTTACCCTCCGGGAGTTTCCATTCTGGAAGGAAACTGACATTAAAAATAGTTATCAAAAATAAAGTCACAGACAAGGCCTATGATAAGAACAACATAGACAAAGCATATTACCTTGAAACCTCATAACAGCCATCCGGCAAAGCAGGTACAGGGTGTTTCATGTTACATGGGGATGAACCTTGAGAAGCCAGTAAGCCCACCAGCTGCTAGGAGACAGGAGCAGAGGTGAAGTTGTGCTTTTCTACCTCCACCTCACCGCTTCAGGGATCATGTGGGGGCCGTGGTGCAAAATAAATTAATCCTCAGTTTCCTCATGGTAAAATGGGAAGAGTTCCTCCCTGTTCGGGTCAGGAGGATTAAACAAGCTAATAGAAGAAAAACACTCAGGATTGTACCTTACACTCAAGGTTCATTAGAAACACATGGTAGCTGCCATCAGAAAGTCCACAGAAAACAAATAGCTACAAAGTGGGGTAATAAAAGTACTAAGAAAAGGTGCTAGAAGCTTCCGGAAGAGAGAGTGACTAACACTCGTTAGCAAAAGGAGAGAAGGAATCTAGGTGGGTTTTGAACACAGAATAGGAGTGCGCTGTGGGCGCCACGGCATTATGAGGAGAGGAAACAGCACGTACCACGCATGAAAGAGCACGACTCCTGGCGGGGAGTGGACTGTAATTGCTTCTTATGGCTGGAATATGAGTGCCCTGGAGGAGGGCCAAGAGGTGGGCTGGCTAAGCCCAGAGAATAATCCCTCTTTCTATGGCTGTCAGGAGCTCCAGGAGGTGATGGGAGAATAGGAGAGCCAGAGAAAACCTCGGAGGCCCAGGCCCAGACGCAGTGGGCCATTTGAACCTCCATCATCTGAGAGGTAAACCCCAATCGTGTGCCAAATTGCCTCTTCAGGCTCCAGCCTCTCCCCACTGTGGACTGTTTGCCTGTCTGGAATGAGATAATTTGTCAGACACCAGCTGCTGATCATTCTTTCCTCATGGGCACATTTATTATTATGTTACAGTGTGCATGAAGAATCTTTACCATCACTGGAGTGAAAATGATTAAAATGTGGGGTTTTGTTGTTGTTATTGTTGGGTTTTGTTTTTTTTTTTCCTCCAGAAATTCTCAAGTCTTCCCTCTGCCAGGGACAGCATCATCGGTCATGAACCATGTTTGGGTAGCAGGCTGTGGGGAGTCATTGTCATAATTAACAAAACAACAAGCAGAGAACCCCAGGGTGTTGGGCTGGGGAAGAAGGACTGTTTGGAGCCTTTGTGATCAGAGCAGAAGTTCGGCAGCCACGAAGCTGGGCGACACGTCTCTGAAAGAGTGCCGAGGATGGGCTAGCTGGCTTCTAGAGCCGCACCATGTCTAATTATGTACCAGGAGGCAAGAAAAGGTGTAGGTCTGTCTTTCCAGTTCAGAGGGAGAAAAAAAAATCTGTGGTGTCTCGCGTCTAAGAAACGAACAGGCTGACCTTTTCAGAGCGTCTGAAAGAAAAAACCAGATGTATTTCTCAAGAGTCACTGTGACTGAAGGCTTGCATTGTGCACTCACATAAAGGGAGAGCTAACCAGAAAACAGCAGCTGATGATCTGAAGCCGGGCTGTGCTATTGTCCGGCACACAAATGTTCTACAAGGACCCAGACCACCATGCAGTTCTCTGTGCACAGACTATGGAGGTTGGGGGGGGTGGGGGGGTGAGGGCTTTTTTCCCCCCTTCTTTTCTTTCTTCCCTTCCTGAAACCTTTTCCTTCCAATCCCTCTACAATCGCTCACATTCAACTGCTAGCAATTATTCCCATTGACCCTCTTCGCTCTCCAAATGGGGTGTGGGTCTCTGAAGGTTTTCTCTTTGTACCTGACAATCCCCTGTTACAGGCAGGCTCCAGGGAGGAGGTGAGGTCTCAGCTCCCTGGGGACGGTGACTGGGAATTGAGTGTCTGTGATTTATTTTCCATAGAGCAAAGTCAAAGCAAGGCAAGTGTGTGCTGGGAGGCAGACAGGAGGATCCTCCAGCCTCATCAAGGGCTGCTTCTCTATTGTCCTTGGGGAGGCTAAGGGCAAACTCTGGCATTGTTGCAGGGGGAAGGGAGAAGAAGCAGCAAGATGAAAAAAAGTAGGCAGCCAAGTGAGATGGGGAAGCGAGATCCTTTCTCCATTCCAGCTCAGTGTTTTCAGGCTTTCTCCTACAGCCTCTACCTTCTTTAGCATTAGTGGACTCATTTCAACTCTTCTGCAAACTGTAACGTTCTTGAAGGCAGATACTTGTCTTCCCCTCCTTCTTGTCTTTCCATTGCCGTCGGTGTTATGTTTGCACCAAGCAGTTACTCAGTAAATGCTCCTACGTGGAATTTACCCTGTGCCCCTTCCGACTGGATCTGGCTCCTTCTATTGAGAGAGCACCTCCTCCTAGCAGCAGCCTTCCTTGACTGATGTAAAGTGGCTTCTGCTCCAGGAACTCTTGATCACTTAATTTAGCTCATTTTTTTTTAGGCCATGTCTACAGACATTTACTAATATACCATATTTATTAGCTGGTAGGTTAAAAAATAGTTCATCTAGCAAGATGAAATCATAGCTCTCTGTTCTTTTAAGTGGTCTGACTACACTTTTATAAAAGCCCGCAGGAGGCAGACTCAACAAAATTCCAGAAATGTAATGTTACTACTTTTGTAATTGGAATCAGAAATCTCACTACCCAATGGCTGAACGCAGGACCATCTGGGTTCAGATCTCAGGTGCTGTTCCTAAGGCTACAGGTTATAACTTGTTTTATATTTGCCATAGCACTTTGTATTAGAGATAATTCTGATCATATGTATGTTTGCTTTTTGTCTCTTACCTCCACTAGACTGTAAGTTCTATATAATAACACCAGCAAGAAAAACAACAACTAATATTTATGGAATGCTTAGTGAGTGTTGGGTACTATTTCAAAAGCTTTACGTGGATTATCTTTTTCAATTTTTCATTATGTGAAAGTATTCCCTGTGTCAAGAAGAGTGGTTGGCACTACATTGAATTTAATAAATACTTGTCGAACCAATAAAAGGAATGAATGCTATACCCTTCCAAGATTGCAACTAATAAGTCAAACCAAATCCTAGAAAAAGAGATGTTATGAGAACACAGGCAAGTCAAAGGAACATCCTCATGCATTCTTGAAAATACAGGTAAGCCTTGCATTGTGCAATAAATTGCAAGGACCCTGGACTTGTCAGAATATATTCTTAATTGAAATGCGTCGTGGAGTTAGCTATTTTGAGAGAATCCTGTTATAGATTCTTTTGTTAGGCAAAGAATTATTTTATAATGCAAATAAATTATCCCCCTCCTCCAAAATAGTAATCACTGGCAAGAATATCACAAATTAGCGTTCTTCGGAGTGCTTTCCTATATATATAGCCATGTGCTCACACATAGGATTTTGGTGTCACTACAGAACTAAGTGTGTTGAACATCAAGTCACTGACAGATCTCTTAGATACTGTAAGTAAATATTCCTATTGAACACATAAGAAAATGAGGTTTAGGGAGATGATGAAATTTGGCCAGAGAACATCCCTTTGATGACTCTATGTCTGAAGGGTCCTCTCATGACGTGGGTTGATTGGAATCCAGAATTAGTCTGACTCCTTGGGTTGTTCCCCAGCCACAGATGCCTGTTTCATGCCTAGAATCATAAGTTTATTTAAAAACATTTATTGAAAGCCCTTTATATACCAGGAACTGCTCATAAGAAGTATGTCAAAAAGCAAAGTAGAAAAAAACTGCTTTCAAGATTCATCTATAACCACAAGGTCCAAATGGTAGCCACTAGCTACAAGTGGCTATGTAAATTTAAATTAAATTAAGAAAAGTTTTAAAATTAAAAATGCATTTCATCAATTTCACTAGGTGATCTCAAGTACTCAAATACTTGAGTTTTAAGTACTTTTGTGGCCACCATACGTCTACTAGCTGCCGTATTGAAAAGTACAGATATAGAGTGTTGCCTCTACCATAAAATGTTCTATTAGTATTGCTCTAGATAGAAAATAAACAAATCTATAATGTGTCTGCTGGTGATAAGGGCTGTGAAGACAATTAAAGCAGGGTCAGAGGATGAACAGAGATGGACAGGGCTCATGTTTACAGGGTATTAAGGTAAGGCGCTCTGAGCCAGGGACTGAATGAATACAGGGTGCAAGTTCCATGGCTATCTCGGGGAAAAACATTCCAACTCAGGGAGTACTTAGTACAAGGACCAAGAAGTAGCCTGCTTCTCAGTTGGAGGAGTAGCAGGGAGGCTTCTGTGGCTGGAGCAGGAATCACTGAACGTGGGAGCAATGATTGGAGATCAGAGCAGAAAGCAGGGCTGGGACAGAAAAACGGAGGCCTTGCAAGCTGTGTTAAGCCTTGGATCCCCAAAAGACCTGAGCAAAAGTGATCTGAGTTTTGTCTTTCTTCTCTCCTCTTCTTTTCACAGTCTCTTTCTCTCTCCTGTCTCTTCACACCCCTGTACCTTATCACTCATGCCTTTGTGATAAGATAACTCCTTTTTGTTTATAATACTCAAGGAAGTCAGAACGTAGAACAGCATTTTGCATCAGGCAGCATCAAGTTCTCTTCTTAGTCCAGGACTCTGAGTCTGTGACTGTAGGACTTAGCAGGTCTGTTGCTTGTTGAGTGAGTGTGACAACTGGGAGATCTGGGCTCTGTTGAGGTTTGAACCTTATGGCTGGAGAGACAACATGGGTAATGAAGGTTTCTTAAAACTAACACTAGAGTTTATTATTCACGGAATAAAGGTGATATAATATTTTTATTTATTTATTTATTTATTTTTTTTTAGACAGAGTCTTGCTCTGTCACCAGGCTGGAGTGCAGTGGTGCGATCTCGGCTCACTGCAACCTCCAACTCCCTGGTTCAAGCAATTCTCCTGCCTCAGCCTCCTGAGTAGCTGGAATTATAGTCATGCGCCACCATGCCCGGCTAATTTTGTATTTTTAGTAGAGACAGGGTTTTGCCATGTTGGCCAGGCTGGCCTGAAACTCCTGACCTCAGGTGATCCTCCTGCCTCGGCCTCCCAAAGTGCTGGGATTTCAGGTGTGAGCCACCGCGCCCGGCCAATATTTTTCATATTAATTCATTTAACACATTTACTGAGCACTTAATATGTACCCAGTGGTTTGTCCAGTAATGAGGGGAAATTCCAGGACACTGGACTTTCTGTGCTAAAACCAGAAAAGTGCTGGGCAAATTCAGATGAGTTGGTCAGCCTATTTGTGGTGGACATTGTGACTGCAAAGATAAGAAATAGTGTCTGCCTTCCAGACAGCGCAGGCTGTTAGAGAAGACAGACCATACACAATTCTCAGTGCTTTGATTGAGGAGAACACAGTTGTTCTGTCATGTTGCATACCTGAAAGGCCCCAGTACAATGAGGATAATGAGGGAAGACATCCTGGAGGAGGGGAATATCTGCTTTAATTCTTGAGGATGATTAAAGATGCCCACCTCGTGGCCCCAACTCTTAACACCTTCCCTGGGTCTTCTGTGAAGGTTCATAACAAGCAGGTCAATGTGCACCCATAGTCTCTTCTTGTTGGAGAACCAGATCACCACTGACCTCAGAGATTCTACTGCCCCCAAATGCTTCATATCTGATTGCTTTGTTTGATTAGAAAGCACAGAAAGGAAAGGAATGACTACATATTTGTCCATGGGAGTATCAATATTTGGGCAAAAGGAGGCTGTTGATCACATCTGTCATTCTCTCCTGGCATAACGAGAACTAGGGGGCATCTACAAGAATGTATATTCATCTAAATTCGTGGGACAGAGGAGTCAGGCGAAAAGGCTTTTCAAAGGCATGCTGCATCTTGCTCAGTGAGTGCGCATTTCTCAATTCTTTCTCAGAAGCAGACATTAAAACCTGCAGCACAGTCATTTAGAATTTCAAAGGTTTCTTCTTCAGGGGGTGGGACACAAAAGACACCACCGTTATTCACATAATGCTGGGATGGTGGGGAACAGCAGCACACCATTAACGAAGACGGTGCAGCAAACCTTTATGGAGAAAGGCAAGAGCTATTCTGCCAGGATAAAGAAGATGCCTCATTACAGTTGCTTTTAAAAAAGATTATTATCATTATTCCTTTTAAAATTCACTCCTGCATTCCACCTAGGTTGGGAGAGCTTAAGAGGGGAAAGACAATTTTTAAAAGTAGTTCATAGATCACTAAAGAATCACAAAACACTCAACATTCAGTACACACCTCTCTCTCTCTCTCTCTCTCTCTCTCTCTCTCTCTCTCTCTCTCTCTCAGTGGAGGGTGTCAATCAGAATTTGGAATAAAAGCAACATCCAAATAAAGAGATTTTTTTTCTTTCTTAAGGCAGACCTCTTATGGTATTGCTCTGTGTGGTTTAAATGGTGCCAAAATCCTACCCAATGGCTTGAAGGACCAAATAAGATGAAGCTTCTCACACATAATGCTGCTGGTCCTTCAACATTATCTTGCATAGCTTTGCCCTTCTTCTCCCTCTCCTTTGTTTTGGAATTACAGGAGGCAAATGCCACAGATTTCAGTTGGAAAACCAGGAGCCCAAGCTGCAGGAACAGCCAGCAGACAACATTGTCTCTGAACTGCTATTGTTTCTATTTTAGGAGCACATTGAGTGATTAGCTTGGGTAACAGTAACATCGCATTACCTTGCAAAGGCTGGAAATGTCTTTCAATAAGGAGGCAACACCGAGTCCATGTGATACAATCCCGTAGACAGAGCCAAGTGGAATACATCAAAGAGAGCCTTGATGCAGATGTTTCATGCAGAAGAAAATTAGGTCAGAGACCACTTCAATTTCAGCTTCTGCCAGCCTCGTTTGAGAGCTTCCAGTGAATTCGTAATGAATAGCTTCTAGGGCACTTTTCTCTCATTCAGTCACAGGCTGCCACAGCCAGATGAGCGTTCCATGTGGAATCTTCTCTCATTATTTAAAACTGCTACTTTGTGTTCTAAAATTCCAGAACCCTTCCAATACGCCACAACCATAGGCCTGAAACAAAAAGACTCCAAAAATACAGAGAGCCATTAATCTGTATCAGATTCTTGCGTGCTCTCTCTCCCCATCCATCATATACATGCATGTTTTTTAATACATCCCCAAGCCCTTTTTTCATCTGCTTATGCAGGTACATAAACCGTTGCTGAGGAATATTGGAGATGTCAGGCTTTTTTAATCTTACTCAACTCTGAAGAAGCTGAGTGGCCTATAGATGACCAAAATGCTCTGATGGCTTCTTGCAGGGAGTGTGCATGTGTGAGTGAGTGTGGCGTGCATGTATAAAGAAAAGCTTTTCTCTGAAAAGAGCAGAGAAGGGCATGGTGACCTCGATGAAAGTGAATGATGCATCTTTTCCCTGCCCACTCCCAGCCCCATCTCACATGTTATTTATTATATTGAAGGGTTAGAATCTGGGGCACCCTGGTATCTTCCTGTATCCTATGCTCTTGCTGCCTACCGTTTTTGGGGTTCACTGACAAATCCTTGCTGACTGGAGTCGGGGTGTGTGGAGTGGATCACTTCAATTCATGCCAGGAGAAGAATCATTAGATTCTAAATGCATTCAGAAGACAGGGGGCAGAGAGACAGACTCGGAGGATCACAGAGGCTCCTCAAAGCTGGTAATGCTCCGATTTCCCATGGGAAAGGAAATGAAGTGGCAGCCCTAGCTTCAGCTCCCTGTGACACAATTGCTTTGTCTTTGCTACCTCCAAAGCACCAGGGCATTCATTAATTGGTTTTTTCAATTCTAGGTTTTGCAAAGCTGTGACAGAAAGCCTCAGAAAAGCACTGGAAGGCTGGCTTCTGCTTCAATCTATCATGAGAAGCCATCAAGATGTTGCCTTTCTTGTACTGCCATTAAAAATGCAACATCTGGCTTTAAAATATACTAGTCTTTCTGCCTTTCTTTCCCAACCTGGTCTCCTCCCTGTCAGCACTCTCCTGCAATCTTTTTTTTTCTGTCACCCACACATACACACACACACACACACACACACACACACACACCCCCCAACTCTCACATTCACATGCTCAATTAAAATTTCTGAGGAAGGCAGAAGTGCAAGGGAGGAAGTGGCAGTGGAGTAGAAAGATGAGCTGACAGAGAAACCTAGATTTAAGCTCTAACTCCGGGTGAACTTGGCCAAGCAGCTCACTTCTCTAGGTTCAGTGTCCTTACCTGGAAGAACATGAGTGCTGCTCCCCAAGTCCCGCACAGCTTTGACGATAAATAATCTTTCTCTTGTGTTGTAGACAATTAATACCATTCTTGAAATGTCTGGCTATGGGTTGTAGCCACAGATCTACCTATTAAGATGCTCACAAAGGTCTCACTCATAGGATTAGCACTGAGGCATTTAGGGGCATGTTCATATCAGCAGGATATTCTGACCTTTTCCAGGCACACTGCAATGGGATGCAGCTCAATGTAGGAGAAATAACATTGCTTTTGAGTCAAACAGACTTGAGTTTGAATTTAGGATGTCACTTCCTGGCTGTGTGACTTCATGTGAATTACTTAGCTTCTCTGATCCCTAGTTTCTTCTACAGTAACATAGGAATAATACCCATTATGTTAGGTTGTTAGAAGATTAAATGCAATCATATGAAGGTAGAGAGCTTGGCATAGTGCCTGGCACATGGCAGGTACTCAATACACCGTAGTGTGATTCTTTTTGCTATTAAAAACGAATACTGGAGACATGCATGCACACATGCAGAAAAGGCACATATGACCTAGAACAGTGAAAACAATTTAACACACTGTTTGAATTGACTGTTGCTGCTCCATATGGAGAATATTCTAAGACATACACACACACCACACACCAGCTTCTAAAGGCAGTAGCAACCAATCCTAATTTCCTTAAGGTAATGCACTTAAAATGCTGAGTGGAGATTTTGGCACGTAAGTTCTCAGTAAATGCTAGTTACACTCATTTTTATTTAAAATATCTTTCAGTATAGTAAATTCCAGTTTATTAGGTACCTCTTACCCATTCTCCTCTCTGAAGAGGCCTGTTTTTGTTTTTTTTTTTTTTGGTTTTGTTTTGCTTTTTGTTTTTTTTTTTTTTGAGACAGAGTCGCACTCTTGTCGCCCAGGCTGGAGTTCAGTGGTGCGATCTTGGCTCACTGCAACCTCTGGAAGAGGCCTCTTTTTAAGAGGCAACATGGGGAACAGAAAACCTCTATAAGTAGGAGCCACAAGCCATCAGTCTGATGCTGAGTTCTTAATCACAAAATCATAGCACTTCAGAGCTTGGCTGGTAGAGAAACTGAAACACAAACAGTTTACGTGACTTGACCAAGGTTGTGGAGGAACCCCAGTTCTCACTGAGTTCTTCTCTAAGTCCTTTGCCCTCATAAATTCCAACTAAGTCCATGAGAATGAAAATGCTTGACAAAGTCCAGGTGCTTTCCAAATGCCAGAGGCCCCTTTCAAGCACCTGCCAGCTCCTACAGCAGCCTTGGCAGAGGGCCACAGCCACTGGAGGTATTTAAGGCCATCTGCAGCAACCGCACCTCTGTCAAAGTGGAGCACTGCCTACCCAAAGCTGGCCTTGGTTTCTGTCAAGGCATAGAGCACAATACAACCTGGAAAGGGACTCCACGGTCCCTCATGCTGAGCAGGCTGCACCAGCATCAAGGCAGAGGGTAGCCCAGTTGGAGCTGCCCAGAGTTAAACATTAGTCTGCCAAACTCTGGCTCTGTGTGCTGGTATGTGGCCATGGGGATGCACAAAAGCTAGAAAGGCCAAACGAAGGAAAGAAAAACATCTATTTGTCTTTTTCTACATTTATTCATTCACTCATTGCTTAGTCATTTCCTTATTCAGTTATTCTTTTTTACTATCATTGGAGAAAGGGCACTTCTAAGATTTCATTATTTAGTAAAAGAGACACAAATAGAGATACAAACCGATTATAATTCAATATGGCAAGTGCTCTAATAGCAAAACACTGTGGCAACAGAGAAGGAGGCATTCAGTTTTCTTGGTTTCCAAATATTAATGGAGTAGAGATTGGGTGATAATCAAGGTTTGATCAGAGAAATGAAACTGATAAATATATGTATATTCACAAACATATACATATATGCATGCATACAAACATTCATGTATATATAATATACATATATACACACGTGAATGTACATACATATATACACACACACGTGAATGTACATACATATATATGCACATGCACATTTAGGGATTTGACCTTACATGATTGTGGAAGTTGGTTTAACAGTCTGTGTATGGTTATTGTCTTTGCTCAGATTTGGCAAACCTTTTCTTTAAAGGAGCAGATAATAAATATTTTAGGCTTTGGAAGACATATGATCTCTGTAGCACAGAAGCAGCCCCAAGCAATTAATAAACACATGGGTCTGGCTACGTGCCAATAAAATTGCATTTACAAAAACAGGCAGTGGGTTGGGTTTGCTCTGCAGGTCATAGTTTGCAAACTAGTGACCTTCCTTGCCACTACTAGTTCTGGAGCCTGAAGTCAGCAGGACAGAGAGTTGGGCAAGGAAGTTGATATGAAGTGTGGGAGAGCAAGGATGAACTGGAGCCTGCAAAGATGGAGAATGGCCTAGAATCTGCCTCAGTTTCTCATTGTCTTCCAGCCTCTAACTTTAGTAATGTTTGAGTCCTGAAGAAGTGGTGTCTCTTCATGCACTAAATTCACATGCAAGCCAGGAGTTAAAAAAACTGAAGAAGGATCCATTGGGAGGTGGAATTGCTGCTGGTCTGGCTGTTGGCCCAGACCAACAAGGTTTGCAAGCAGATAAGTAGCAATGGACATGGTTTACAATAGCACCTGGTGTTCCTTCATTGACCCTCTGAGTGTGAACTAACTACGGCTTCTGCTTTAATTCAACCTTCCAAAACTCATGCAAAATGTCTCCTATGACCCATGCTAACTTGAAACAATGTAGGAAAGGAAATTCTAGGAGGCATAAGTCTACTTGAACTAAGTTGACCCAGTCAAGTCCATACAGATGAGGAAGGTTTCAGACAGGAGCTTACATTGGAACTGGACCTCAAATATGAATGAACATTCTTACCAACTGAAAGACACCCCCAGAATCCTCAGAAAGCATTCTTTATGGGTGATCTGTTTTCACACGGCTCTAACACAGAGTTTATAAGGAGAAACAACCTGTTCTTTTGCTTGCCAAACATTTGAATAATTTATGTCCCAATTTTTTTTTCACTAATTGACTGCTTCCATCGGAATCCAGATGTGAGCAGGATGGTGACTTCTGTGACCATCTTGGCTCAAATTTTTCCATGCAAGCTGAGGGCCAGCCAGTTTGTCTGTCCATACCCAGCAGGAGAACCTACCTCTGGGAAAAAGAGGCTACTCTGTCTATGCAAATCATCCAGTGCTCAAGCATATTCACATTTAGCAATGTTTCAGCGATAATTCCCATAAAAATTTTTTATTCTGTGTCACAGAACTGACTTCTTCCTCCCCTTTTTTAGCAACTTGTTCTTTCTTCTTGTGTTTTTCTTCATTAACGCTGTCAGATTTTACTAGATGTTCCAGCACCAGATGTTATATTTAATTCCTCCTTCTTCCAGTTCTTTCATGTGTTGAGCTTACCTCCACACCTCTTGCAATCATCCACTCATTATTTGACTTTCCATATATCCATTTTGTTATCCATCTTCGTGTTTATTTATTTGCCCATCTATCTCTCCATTTATTTGTCCATCCATCCACTCACCCCTTTATCTCCTTTTTTTTTTTTTTTTTTTTTTTTTGTGGCTACTACCCTGAAATAGGGTAGATAGAAGACTGAAATAGTCTTCTGTCATCTCATTCTTTTTTTTTTTTATACTTTAAGTTCTAGGGTACATGTGCACAATGTGCAGGTTTATTACATATGTATACATGTGCCATGTTGGTGTGCTGCACCCATTAACTCGTCTTTTAAATTAGGTATATCTCCTAATGCTATCCCTCCCCCATCCCCCCACCCCACGACAGGCCCTGGTGTGTGATGTTCCCCATCCTGTGTCCAAGTGTTCTCTTTGTTCAATTCCCACCTATGAGTGAGAACATGTGGTGTTTGGTTTTTTGTCCTTGCAATAGTTTGCTGAGAATGATGGTTTCCAGCTTCATCCATGTCCCTACAAAGGACATGAACTCATCCTTTTTTATGGCTGGCTGCATAGTATTCCATGGTGTATATGTGCCACATTTTCTTAATCCAGCCTATCATTGATGGACATTTGGGTTGGTTCCAAGTCTTTGCTATTGTGAATAGTGCCGCAGTAAACATACGTGTGCATGTTTCTTTATAGCAGCATGATTTATAATCCTTTGGGTATACACCCAGTAATGGGATGGCTGGGTCAAATGGTATTTCTAGTTCTAGATCCCTGAGGAATCGCCACACTGACTTCCACAATGGTTGAACTAGTTTACAGTCCCACCAACAGTGTAAAAGTGTTCCTATTTCTCCACATCCTCTCCAGCACCTGCTGTTTCCTGACTTTTTAATGATCGCCATTCTAACTGGTGTGAGATGGTATCTCATTGTGGTTTTGATTTGCATTTCTCTGATGGCCAGTGATGGTGAGCATTTTTTCATGTGTCTTTTGGCTGCATAAATGTCTTCTTTTGAGAAGTGTCTGTTCATATCCTTCGCCCACTTGTTGATGGGGTTGTTTGTTTTTTTCTTGTAAATTTGTTTGATTTCTTTGTAGATTCTGGATATTAGCCTTTTGTCAGATGAGTAGACTGCAAAAATTTTCTCCCATTCTGTAAGTTGCCTGTTCACTCTGATGTTAGTTTCTTTTGCTGTGCAGAAGCTCTTTAGTTTAATTAGATCCCATTTGTCAATTTTGGCTTTTGTTGCCATTGCTTTTGGTGTTTTAGATATGAAGTCCTTGCCCATGCCTATGTCCTGAGTGGTATTGCCTAGGTTTTCTTCTAGGGTTTTTATGGTTTTAGGTCTAACACATAAGTCTTTAATCCATCTTGAATTAATTTTTGTATAAGGTGTAAGGAAGGGATCCAGTTTCAGCTTTCTACATATGGCTAGCCAGTTTTCCCAGCACCGTTTGTTAAATAAGGAATCCTTTCCCCATTTCTTGTTTTTGTCAGGTTTGTCAAAGATCAGATGGTTGTAGATGTGTGGTATTATTTGTGAGGGCTCTGTTCTATTCCATTGATCTATATCTCTGTTTTGGTAACAGTATCATGCTGTTTTGGTTACTGTAGCCTTGTAGCATAGTTTGAAGTCAGGTAGCATGATGCCTCCAGCTTTGTTTTTTTGGCTTAGGATTGTCTTGGCAATGAGGGCTCTATTTTGGTTCCATGTGAACTTTAAAGTAGTTTTTTCCAATTCTATGAAGAAAGTCATTGGTAGCTTGATGGGGATGGCATTGAATCTATAAATTACCTTGGGCAGTATGGCCATTTTCACCATATTGATTCTTCCTATCCATGAGCATGGAATGTTCTTCCATTTGTTTGTGTCCTCTTTTATTTCATTGAGCAATGGTTTGTAGTTCTCCTTGAAGAGGTCCTTCACATCCCTTGTAAGTTGGATTCCTAGGTATTTTATTCTCTTTGAAGCAGTTGTGAATGGGAGTTCACTCATGATTTGGCTCTCTGTTTGTCTGTTATTGGTGTATAAGAATGCTTGTGAGTTTTGCACATTGAGTTTGTATCCTGAGACTTTGCTGAAGTTGCTTATCAGCCTAAAGAGATTTTGGGCTGAGATGATGGGGTTTTCCAAATACACAATCATGTCATCTGCAAACAGGGAAAATTTGACTTCCTCTTTTCCTAATTGAATACCCTTTATTTCTTTCTCCTGCTTGATTGCCCTGGCTAAAACTTCCAACACTATGTTGAATAGGAGTGGTGAGAGAGAGCATCCCTGTCTTGTGCCAGTTTTCAAAGGGAATGCTTCCAGTTTTTGCTCATTCAGTATGATATTCACTGTGGGTTTTTCATAAATAGCTCTTATTATTTTGAGATACGTCCCATCAACACCTAATTTATTGAGAGTTTTTAGCCTGAAGGGTTGTTGAATTTTGTCAAAGGCCTTTTCTGCATCTATTGAGATAATCATGTGGTTTTTGTCTTTGGTTCTGTTTATATACTGGATTACATTTATTGATTTGCATATGTTGAACCAGCTTTGCATCCCAGGGATGAAGCCCACTTGATCATAGTGGATAAGCTTTTTGATGTGCTGCTGGATTCGGTTTGCCAGTATTTTATTGAGGATTTCTGCACTGATGTTCATCAGGGTTATTGGTCTAAAATTCTCTTTTCTGTTGTGTCTCTGCCAGGCTTTGGTATCAGGATGATGCTGGCTTCATAAAATGAGTTAGGGAAGATTCCCTGTTTTTCTGTTGATTAGGATAGTTTCAGAAGGAATGGTACCAGCTCCTCCTTGTACCTCTGGTAGAATTCTGCTGTGAATCCGTCTAGTCCTGGACTTTTTTTGGTTGGTAGGCTATTAATTATTGCCTCAATTTCAGAGCCTGTTATTGGTCTATTCAGGGATTCAACTTCTTCCTAGTTTAGTCTTGGGACCATGTATGTGTTGATGAATTTATCCATTTCTTCTAGATTTTCTAGTTTATTTGTGTAGAGGTGTTTATAGTATTCTCTGATGGTAGTTTGTATTTCTGTGGGATTGGTGGTGATCTCCCTTTTATCATTTTTTATTGCATCTATTTGATTCTTCTCTCTTTTCTTCTTTATTAATCTTGCCAGCGGTCTATCAATTTTGTTGATCTTTTCAAAAAACCAGCTCCTGGATTCATTGATTTTTTGAAGGGTGTCTCTGTCTCCTTCAGTTCTGCTCTGATCTTAGTTATTTCTTGCCTTCTGCTAGCTTTTGAATGTGTTTGCTCTTGCTTCTCTAGTTCTTTTAATGGTGATGTTAGGGTGACAACTTTAGATCTTTCTTGCTTTCTCTTGCGGGCATTTAATGCTATAAATTTCCGTCTACACACTACTTTAAATGTGTCCCAGAGGTTCTGGTATGTTGTGTCTTTGTTTTCATTGGTTTCAAAGAACATCTTTATTTCTGCCTTCATTTCGTTACGTACCCAGTAGTCATTCAGGAGCAGGTTGTTCAGTTCCCATGCGGTTGAACGGTTTTGAGTGAGTTTCTTAATCCTGAGTTCTAGTTTGATTGCACTGTGGTCTGAGAGACAGTTTGTTATAATTTCTGTTCTTTTACATTTGCTGAGCAGTGCTTTACTTCCAACTATGTGGTCAATTTTGGAATAAGTGTGATGTGGTGCTAAGAAGAATGTATATTCTGTTGATTTGGGGTGGAGAGTTCTGTGGATGTCTATTAGGTCCACTTGGTGCAGAGCTGAGTTTAATTCCTGGATATCCTTTTTAACTTTCTGTCTCGTTGATCTGTCTAATGTTGACAGTGGGGTGTTAAAGTCTCCCATTATTATTGTGTGGGAGTCTAAGTCTCTTTGTAGGTCTCTAAGGACTTGATTTATGAATCTGGGTGCTCCTGTATTGGGTGCATATATGTTTAGGACAGTTAGGTCTTCTTGTTGAATTGATCCCTTTACCATTATGTAATGGCCTTCTTTGTCTCTTTTGATCTTTGCTGGTTTAAAGTCTGTTTTATCAGAGACTAGGATTGCAACCTCTGCCTTTTTTTGTTTTCCATTTGCTTGGTAGATCATCCTCCATCCCTTTATTTTAAGCCTATGTGTGTCTCTGCATGTGAGATGGGTCTCCTGAATACAGCACACTGATGGGTCTTCACTCTATCCAATTTGCCAGTCTGTGTCTTTTAATTGGAGCATTTAGCCCATTTACATTTAAGGTTAACATTGTTATGTGTCAATTTGATCCTGTCATTATGATGTTAGCTGGTTAATTTGCTTGTTAGTTGATGCAGTTTCTTCCTAGCATCACTGGTCTTTACAATTTGTCATGTTTTTGCAGTGGCTGGTACCGGTTGTTCCTTTCCATGTTTAGTGCTTCCTTCAGGAGCTCTTTTAGGGCAGGCCTGGTGGTGACAAAATCTCTCAGCATTTGCTTGTCTGTAAAGGATTTTATTTCTCCTTCACTTATGAAGCTTAGTTTGGCTGGATATGAAATTCTGGGTTGAAAATTCTTTCCTTTAAGAATGTTGAATATTGGCCCCTACTCTCTTCTGGCTTGCAGAGTTTCTGCCAAGAGATCAGCTGTTAGTCTGATGGGCTTCCCTTTGTGGGTAACCTGACTTTTCTCTCTGACTGCCGTTAACATTTTTTCCTTCATTTCAATTTTGGTGAATCTGACAATTATGTGTCTTGGAGTTGCTCTTCTCAAGGAGTATCTTTGTGGTGTTCTCTGTATTTTCTGAATTTGAATGTTGGCCTGTCTTGCTATATTGGGGAAGTTCTCCTGGATAATATCCTGCAGAGTGTTTTCCAACTTGGTTCCATTCTCCCAGTCACTTTCAGGTACACCAATCAGACGTAGATTTGGTCTTTTCACATAGTCCCATATTTCTTGGAGGCTTTGTTCGTTTCTTTTTGTTCTTTTTTCTCTAAACTTCTCTTCTCGCTTCATTTCATTAATTTGATCTTCAATCACTGATACCCTTTCTTCCCATTGATAGAATCAGCTACTGAAGCTTGTGCATTCGTCACGTAGTTCTTGTGCCATGGTTTTCAGCTCCATCAGGTCATTTAAGGACTTCTTTACACTGGTTATTCTAGTTAGCCATTCGTCTAATCTTTTTTCAAGGTTTTTAGCTTCTTTGCGATGGGTTCAAACTTCCTCCTTTGGCTCGGAGAAGTTTGATCTTCTGAAGCCTTCTTCTCTCAACTCATCAAAGTCATTCTCAGTCCAGCTTTGTTCCATTGCTGGCAAGGAGCTGCATTCCTTTGGAGGGGGAGAGGGGCTCTGATTTTTAGAATTTTCAGTTTTTCTGCTCTGTTTTTTCCCCATCTTTGTGGTTTTATCTACCTTTGGTCTTTGATCATGGTGACGTACAGATGGGGTTTTGGTGTGGGTGTCCTTTCTGTTTGTTAGTTTTCCTTCTAACAGTCAGGACCCTCAGCTGCAGGTCTGTTGGAGTTTGCTGGAGGTCCACTCCAGACCTGTTTGCCTGGGTATCAGCAGCGGAGGCTGCAGAACAGCGAATACTGCTGAACGGCAAATGTTGCTACCTGATCGTTCCTCTGGAAGCTTCATCTCAGATGGGTACCTGGCCGTGTGAGGTGTCAGTCTGCCCCTACTGGGGGGTGCCTCCCAGTTCAGCCAGTCAGGGGTCAGGGACCCTCTTGAGGAGGCAGTCTGTCCGTTCTCAGATCTCAAACTCCATGCTGGGAGAACCACTACTCTCTTCAAAGCTGTCAGACAGGGGCATTTAAGTCTGCAGAGGTTTCTGCTGACTTTTGTTCAGCTATGCCCTGCCCCCATAGGTGGAGTCTACAGAGGCAGGCAGGCCTCCTTGATCTGTGGTGGGCTCCACACAGTTCCAGCTTCCCGGCCACTTTGTTTACCTACTCAAGCCTCAGCAATGGTGGGCGCCCTACCCCCAGCCTCGCTGCTGCCTTGCAGTTCAATCTCAGACCACTGTGCCAGCAATGTGCAAGGCTCCCTGGGCATGGGACCCTCTGAGCCATGTGCGGGATATAATCTCCTGGTGTGCCATTTGCTAAGACCGTTGGAAAAGCGCAGTATTAGGGTGGGAGTGACCCAGTTTTCCAGGTGTCTGTCACAGCTTTCCTTGGCTAGGAAAGGGAATTCCCTGACACCTTGCACTTCCCAGGTGAGGCGATGCCTCGCCCTGCTTCGGCTCATGCTCGGTGGGTTGCACCCACTGTCCTGCACCCACTGTCCAACAAGCCCCAGTGAGATGAACCCAGTACCTCAGTTGGAAATGCAGAAATCACCCGTCTTCTGCGTCGCTCATGCTGGGAGCTGTAGACTGGAGCTGTTCCTATTTGGCCATCTTGGAACCGCCCCCTATCATCTCATTCTTAAATGATTAAAAGGTCCAATAAATTGGTTTTCTTGAGAGGTTTAGTGAATGCATAGGATGTGGAGTAACATAGGCTTAATTTGAATTCTGTCTCTGTCCTTTACTAACTCTGTGTTCTTAAGCACATAATTGAAACTCTCTGGGTCCATTGAGGAACTAATAATTCCACATCTCAGGATTGTTGTAGGCGTTTATTGAAGAAAGGTTTATAAGGCAAGTAGTACAGTGCTTGGAACATGCAAGACACTCCATAAATGTTAATTCATTCCCTCCTCCCTATTTCTTATACCCTAACTACTTTATAATTTTGTTCATATATCTTCACAAACACTTGAAATTGTCACCTAACTTGGGCCTTTGCTGAAACCATCCTTCTTCCAACAATTGTGTCCACCCCAATTCCTAACTTACTATTGAGACACATCACTATTTCTAACTTCGGGTCTTTAATCATGTAAACTTTTCTTCTTGAATTATCTGTCTTCCCATTTCTTTTTGTAGAAAATGGATCTGATTTCTTGGATCCTCTCCTTCCCCTATTAAGATGCTACCTCTTTCTATAGCCCTTCTTGAATCCACCAGTTTAAACCTTTACCCCCACTGTATTACTGTAAGACTTTATTTGCAGGTAAGGGAAAAAGGATCTGCATTTTTGAGCATACACTGTTGAGTCTGGATATACTTGTTATGTGTTTTTTACAGCAATTTCATGAAGTAATTATTATCTTTGTTCTTTTTTAGTAGAAGAACTTTCTCAAGGTCACTCAGCTAATAAAGACCAAAGCAAAAATATTAATCCAGGTCCAAATACCTTAATTCAAAATATCTTTTCCGTTTCATACTACCTTGCCTTCCATCCTCTACCATATATTGTAATAATTCTGTAAAAATATTAAAAAACATAATTCTGACATTTATCAAAGATTTTGAAAAATGAAAATCTGTGATTGACCCCATAAATAAATGATATTAAAGGATAGGGATAGTGTTTTATTTATTCTTGTATCACCTTAACTGACCTATGTAACAAACCTACCAATAGGCATGTGGTAAATGTCCAAGTGAAAGACATCAAAAGCATAAATAGGACCTTTCACCAGAGTCTTATTCTTCAGGTTCCGCCTCAATTTCAAATGTTATAAGTGATCATAAATCCTTCAGCCATCATATTGTCAGGGTAAGGTCAATTTCGGTGTTCTTTCTTTTGAATAAGAATGTCTGCAACAAAAATGGAATTATTATTGTTAAATTCTTATCATAATAAGACTCTTCATACATTAGAGTCCTGGGCTATTTTGTGAAAATCCTTGGCCTGATTCCTGCAGCCAGAAGGCAGCAAGCTCCTTTATTTGTCTCTCCATAGCATTAGTAACCCTGTACAAGTTAAATTTGTTTTATTTATAGCTTGGAAGAGCTTTCACCCATGAGGAGTACTGAGTAAATAGACTTTTCCCATCATTCTCCAAAGAGGTTGGAAAGGAACTACTCAGGAGGAAAGCCTGGAGGGTACAAATTATCAGAATGAAGTGTAGTCTTTTGTTCAGAATCAGAAGAATTAACCACTCAAATCATAAAATACCAGATGAAGCTCACTTCACCCAATAGGAGTGAGCAAAGTGAGAAGAAGGAAGACATGGTGACACAGAAAACCTCCAAGGAGTAATCTCTCCAGTTTAAATGAAGACAAGTTCACTTGGGATCCTCAAGGTTATATTTTTGCCTAAAAGGCCAAGGAAGCATGCTTTATGTTAGCACAGAAAAGAGTTATAGTTTAAAAAAACTTTTAAAAAAATAGGTGAGATTGAGAGGGCAATGCAGAATAATCTGCCGATCTGTGAAGTGTCTATGTCTAGTTATTTGTACTTGAGTGTGAGAAGAGCAACTCAAAGTTATTGAATTAAAGGAGTTCAAAGATCAATGCAACACGATTAAATAATCATATTGTGAATTAAATAAACATAAATAATCATATTAGACCTTAAATCTGCTATCTCTTGGAGAGAAATGAGATGGTTATGTTCTTTGATAAACCCCCAAATTCTCTGCTGTCCTTGTGAAAGGAACATGCTGCTGTTTCACTGTGAGCTTTGAGATCCTTTCAAAGAGAAAGAATGGGTTTTTGTTGCTCAGTACACACAAACTTGCCTGGTGCCCCTTCTAATTAATGGCATTTATTTCCCCCAGAGAGCTGCCAAAGGCTGAAGGCTGGGATGTGGCATTGAGACAGAACTAACCTAACTGGCTCTCATGGGGATTGATCACGTGCATTGACCTTCCACTACAGTGTTCTAAGCATTTGAGTTAACTGGGTGTGCTTTCCCTACAAGTAAGTCTCAGCCACTCCATAAAAAAGAAGATGGGATTGTCAAGTATCAGGTTTCACATACTGTATCTTTAAGACAAGGTGAGGTTTACTTTCAAAGCAGGGTGTGGAACTTTCTACAGAGAAACCCTGCATGGTCATAAACTATTCATGAAAGTTCTCATGTTTCTAGAACAACCTACTTTCTACTTCCCTTAACTGGTCTTATTATTACCTGTCTCATCTTCCTGACAACTCTGACCTCAGATCTACCTTTAATTTATTTTAATACATTCCCTTTTTTATCCTGGACATAATGTTTATAAATTGTTGATATCTTGTCCATTTGATACCTGACCTTGACCTACCTTGATACCACTGTCCTTACTTTTGCTAGAGATGTCAGTGTCAGACACATTTCTCAGTGCCTGTTCTTGATACCCCTTTCCTAACCCCATTTTTGGCTTTGCTCTCCCTGTGAAAACTTTACAACTGAAAGAGGTTCCACTACATGACACAAAGCCAAAGGCAGGACAAGGGACTGCAAAGGCTCCTACAGCAAAGTCTGCAGTGTCATAGGACAGAGGGAGTGAGCTCCATCACCCTTGGCACCTAAGCAACAAGAGGCCTGGCCTAGTTTCATACACCCCAGAGAACCCTTAACTAAGCAGGTGGTCACACCAACTTGAGACTGTGCTTCAACTGTATCTGTGTCCTGAGACTGTGCTTCAACTGTATCTATGTCCTGAGAAAAGCCAACCATGTCGTTATGCATCAGCCAATGCAGTGCAACAGAATAGTACATGCTTTGGAGCCAGGGCTACTTGGCTTGGAATCCTGGTTCTACTCCTTGCTAACTGTGTTACCTCAATCAAGTTTCTTAACTTTTCTGAGCCTCAGTTACCTTATCTATAAAATGGGGGTAATTGTACCTGCCTTTCACTATCATTGTAAGAATTTAGAGATAACAATTATAAAATACAGGACATTGCATATAACATACAATATATCGGGTTTATTATTATTTATTTTTCCTTGCTATTTTTGTCATTATTATTGTCATGACAGGGCCTTAATGTCCAGATTCTAGCAAGAATAGTGAACATTTCAAATATCCAGGCAGCTCATTTCTTGAGAGATGGACCACAGGCTTCCTCACACACTAGGCTGGTTGCTCAGTGTTGTAAATCACCACTTGGCTTCCTGCCTGAACTTTTAATCTTGTCCCCATCTCAATTTAAAGAGGGTGAGAAAGCAGAGACATCAATCGTTTCCTTGTCAAGGACAACAGCCCCTTCCTTCTTCCTTGGATCTCTCCTGGGGACCCATCTGCCTGGTGCCAAGGGAGGGGGCTGCTGCTGAATACAAATCACCATGTGGTGGGGGAGTCTTGTGCTTCTATATCAGCCAGGAGCCATTTCACCATCCCTGTGTGAGACTCCAATGAGCCCAACCCAGTCCTCCCACTGCTCCTGGGGTTAAGCGCCCCACTGCTTCACAGTCACCCTGGATAGTGATGTAACCATGAAGATGGCAGTTACCCAAGGTACTGGGACACAGACTTTATTGATTTGTTCTTCTAATGTATTAGGAGGAAACAGGAAACCTCAGGAAGGTCATAAGCGACAATTGTGCATTGACTGGCACAGACATTGACTTCATTCAGAAAGGCACGACTCAAGTGGCCTTGCTTTCAGAGAGGAGGGGGGCCATAGAGGCAAGACTCAGAAAATAAAGACAATAAGCACGAGCTGGATCACAGGGAATCAGAAGGAACTGAAGAACCTAACGCTCAAGCTCACACTTGAGGGAAAGTCTTTGTTCAGTTCCTGGTAGAGCCAGATGTTCAATCGATGTTGCTAAACAATTGGATGAAGGCATAAACCAGCAAGGGTGATCCCCTTAGAACTTCCTCTATTGATTTTCTGGGCACCTCTGTACCATTTTCCCATTTGATTCTGTGGTTACATGCCCTTCTTTCCATCTCTTTTTCATGATCTTTAAAGCTGAGCCCGTCAGATAACTTTTAATGGACTCCCGCTGTTTTCTTCAGCTTTCAACCTCTTGCGATGCGCCCTGTAATCACTGACCACTGCAAAAATCAGAATGGCACATTTGAAGATCTCCTGGACTTCCTGTACCCTCTTTTCTTCTAGGTCTGTGTTCTGGATATTTGGGGTTTACCTCTCAAACGTTTTGCCTTCCCTGATGATTTTATTAATGAGAAGTGCCGTCTTTCTTCAACGGTTATGGTTATTTCAACTTTATCATCCAATTCTCACTTTCTTGTGAGCAATTATTCCAGATGAGCATTTGAGTTAACTGGGTGTGCCTCCTCTACAGATAAGTCTCAGCCATTCCGTAAAAGGGAAGTTGAGATTCTCGGGTATCAGGTTTAAAACACTGAATCTTTAAGACAAGGTGAGGTTTACTTTCAAAGCATGGTGTGGAACCTCCTAAAGAAAACTGTCTATGAAGCCATATCTTTCTAAATGTTTGGCTTTAATCAATTCAGCAGACTTTTGGATAGGATCCTAAGGTCTCTTCTAACCCCATAACTACAGTTAAACCATTAATCCAGAACTCAGTGGAACATTGCAGTTTTTCTAGAAACGGTTCTCTACTGATTATTAATACTGAAAAACTATAGACCACCAAGCAGAGATGGACCTTCAAACCACTCTTTTGTTTAGGCTTTTGTGGGCTCTGTACAGGCAACAGATCTCCAGTCCTGGTTTTAGCATCCATGTAAAACACCATCTTGGCAGAAGGAGAAGCAACAGAAAAGTGCTATCTCCAGTGAAAGACGTAATGCGGGGGTTTACTCATAAGCAGTGTAGAGATTAAGGACAAAGCCTTCTGTACAGCTCAGATTCTAACACACGGAGGTGATTAGTCCCAGCTCTGCAAGCTACTCTCTCTGTAACTTAGGCACATGACTTAAACTTTGTAGCCTCATGTTTACAGGGGATTACTAATAAACTAATAATGGCCTCATGTTTAAAAGGGATTACTAATAAACTGTTTTGGGAGTGCTATGAAGATAAGCAGACAATGAATTTTAAATAGCCAAGCACATAGCAACTGCTCAATAAGAAATTGTTGGTTTCCCCCTCCTGCCCAGGATACCAGTGAGTTCTGGACTAATAATTTGGCTTCAATCATAGACTCATGGGCTTAGAAGGAACCTTAATATCATATTTTAGTATAAAACATCTAATATTTATTAACCACTAACTATGTGCCAGGCAATGTGATAAACAATTTGAAAATAATATTTTATTTATTGAGATAACAGATATTATACTCATATTTCAGATGAGAAATATGAGAAAAGTGGGGCTCCCATGTATTAAATAATGTTCCTTAGGTCATGCAGCTAATCACTGATAAAGCAGAGATGCACATCTTGGACTTTCTCACTCCAGAGCCCATTCTCTTAACCACATTGTTGTAAGAACATTTTAGAATGAGAAATCAGTGGTATGACTTTAATAAGCTAAAAAATCAGTGAACTGTAGAGTCTCTGGGGAAATACGGTTTGGAGAGTGGAGGTGGAAATGCACTAAAATAATAGATTCCAGTATCGATCTAGTGAGCGGAGCTGAGGAGACAGAGATTAGTCGGATTTGTAAAGTTGTTATTAGTATTTGCCAAAGATGTTTGCCATTGCCCATGTTCTTCTTGGGAATGTTGCCTTTTGAATATTACTCTGGAAAACAGGATCAATAAAAATCCTTTCTTTCCTGTGTCCCAACATGCTTATTAAATTTTCTCAGTACTGGGTACCATGATAGGCATGGAGAGAACAGAGATATCAAACACAGGGCAAGTTTTACATTTGATGTGTTTCAGTTATAGATGTAAGAAGCTGCATCTGGAAAAAAATTTGGGGCAGCAGTTGGATGGGCTTTGAGTCTACACTGAGGAGTCTTAACTTCAGCAACAACCTGACATGAAGTTACTTAGGAGGGGAGTGCTGTGAGAGCTGCAATTTCTAAAACTCACCCTGGACCAGAGATGATGCTATAGTTTGTTACTTGGTATCCCTGAACACGAAGAAGTCCACAGATGTGATGAGATGAATACCTTAAACTTGTAGGTGAAAAGCCATGTCTGTGTGCACATGAGCTTTCTTTTCTGAAAAGAATGTCAAAAATTTTATTCTCAAAAGGTCAGTGATGCAACATGATTAAGGTCAAATACCACTGATATTGGCTCAGAGGAAGAAAAATTAGAGGAAGATATGTAAAGGTTGGTGAGGAATACAGTTGAGAGACGAAGATGAGCAGAGATAGTGTCATGGAGATGGAGCTGGCAGGTGTAAAGGCTATGCTACCTAGGACGTAGCAATGACACCTGAAATGGGCAATTAATCAGGTGTGGAAGGTAAGAGAAAAAGGAAAGATGAAGCTTCAATATCTCTTGATTTTCTAGCTTGGGAGATGGACCAACACACCAAGAAAGAAAATACAAAAGACACTATAAGCGTAGGGAGGAGATAATAAATTTAGTATTGGTATTGGTATAGATTGCTCTTTGAAATGTAATTATGGAATTGCAGTTTTCTCTATGAAGCTTAGAACATATGTCTATGAAGCTTAGAACATATGTCAGAAAGTGTAATTTAACTCATTGACATACCAGACCAATGAAGATGAACTTGTTGATTTGAGATTTGTAAGGCAAACACAAAAAGGATTGTTTTCTATAAAGTTTGGATGTATACCTAAAATTGAAGCTACCACCCCATCTCCTATTTCCACCTCTCTCATTCCCCCACAGTCTCTGAGACAAAGGTCTCATAATGGCTTAAATATGTTTATACAATTCCCAATGTTTAAATAAATTCTTAAGAACTGGCATAATCCAGATTTTTTCCAAACTGGGTAAAATAACAATCCAGTTATTGCCAGAATTTTCTTTTTTTATAAAGATATTTGGTATTTTGTAGACATAGTTCAAATTATACCAATGCCTTAACCATCAAAAGTAGAAAACCTTACTAAGAAGATTTTCAGCAAATACTGTGTGCCAGTACTAGATCTCTTTGTAAATGTTAATTATTCTAGGCAATTAACATATTTTTGTTGCATCAACCTTATGAGGTAGATATTATTTTCCCTGCTTTACAAATGAAGAAAAATGAGAGCAAAAAACTAAGAAACTTGTCCAAATGTGTCAAAGTAGGAACTGGCAGATCTTTTCTAATCCCTAGTCTATATATATTTCTGACTACATCTGCACCTCTGGGTCATTGAGCCCATTCCTTTTTAGAGTCCCCATCCCTTTATGCCTTCCTTCCTTCCTCACCACTCAGCTTAGATTCCAGAATCTGAAGCTGTAATCATCTTCTTGCAAATCCTCACCTTTCTGGCCCTTCTGTCATTCTCAGCCAGCCAAACTCAGTCCTCAAACCCAACCGTGCCTATTTCGTCCCTACAGCAGGGTCACTGATAGTGAACGGGAGAAAAATAGTCAACCATACTGTCTGGTCTAACCTCAAATTTGTGACCACAAACCTCAAGTGAACTTTCTATTTTCCCTGGCAACCTTGCCACGTTTTTTGATTCTCTCATTATCCAAGACAACCATAGTGGAATCTTCTCATTTCTCAGCCTTCTTACTCTGCCCCCTTCTTTTTATTCTCAGATGATGACCTTGCTTCTTATCCAGCTAAGAAAATAGTCATGATCTGAAGATAAAAACGTGTATTCTCATTACCAGTTTTCCAACCTATCTGCATCTCAACCTCCAGAGCCAGCTTTCTCCTGTTTATATATTTATTCATAGGGATTGTTCATGCTTCTACTAAGACCAACCCTTCTGCTTGTGCACTGGATCTCATCTGACTTCTTTCTTTTGGACTTTGTTCCTGTAGTAGTTATCCCTCTGTCTTCTTGATCATTTTTTCCTTTTCTGTTGATCATTACCATCAGCAGACAAGCATGCTATCCTGTTTCCCATGTTAAGAAAATGAAACCCGCCCTTGACTCACATTCTCTTCTAGTTCTTGCCATATGTTTTTCCTCTCTGTTAAAGCAAAACTCGAGAAAAGAATTGTCCATCCATACTTGCTCTCTCCACTATCTCATTTCTAATCCTTTTTTTAAAATGTGCCAATCAGGTGTTAGTTCCCATTCTTTCAAAAACATTTTTTGAAAACTGTTATTATCAATGCCATCAAACAGTGACATGTCAAATCCAGTGATCAATTATCAGTGCTACTCTTAAACTCTCAGGTGCTCTGACAAAGTTATTCACTTTTTCTCTCCTCAATACTCTGTTCTCTTCACTTCTGTGATAGTGTGTTCTAGATTTTCTTCTCCTTCACTGGCCAACCCATCTTAGTATTTTTTTTTTTTTTTGCTGGCTCCTCCATCCCTGCTCTGACAATTCAGTGTGTTTCTCTACTGTCTTCTCGTCACCTGCATTTGTTTATGGATTATTTCATACAGTCTGATAACCCCCAACTTTCTATCTCTTGTCCTAAATTCTTCCATGATATATGGGATATCAATTACCTGCCAAACATCTAGAATGTCTATTATCTATCTTATATGTAATACAGCTAAAACAGAAATCTTGATCTTTTCTTCCCTCTCAAAATACTCTGATTATTTCCAGTCTTTTTCAAAACTTAGAAATCATTATTGATTTCTCATTTCCCCTTATTTCTTACACCTAAGCTCTCAGCAAGTTTTATCAGCTTTACCTTAATCTCACTTCCCTCCATCCGACAGTTCTGGTCTAAGCTACCATGCTCTCTTTGTTGGACTACAATTGCCTACAAATTGATCTCATTGCTTCTACTCTTCCTTCTTTCCTCTCCCCATATCTTTTCTCTATTCCAGTAGCCAGTGTTCCTTTTAAAATGGATTGTGTTTCTGTCCCTAAAATCACTTCAATTGCTTTTCATTTTACTGAGAATGAAATTCAGACTTCTTAATGACCTACCAAGCATTACCTGATCCAGCCACTGCCTACCTCTCTAATCTTATTTTCTACTAATTTCCCCATTGGTGAATTGTGCTATATCTACATTGGCATTTTGACTTTCTTCTAACCCATAAAACTCATTGCTGCTCTAAGGGTTTTGCATTTCTCATTCTCTGGACTCAAATGCTCTTATTCCAGATACTTATGAAACTCTTGCCATTAAGAAATATAGAACATCTTATTGAAGCACTATTCATAATAGCAAAGACATGGAATCAACCTAAATGCCCATCAATGACAGATTGGATAAAGAAAATGTGACACATATACACCGTGAAATACTATGCAGCCATAAAAAAGAATGAGACTATTTCCTTTGCAAGAACACAGATGGAGGTGGAGGCCATTATCCTTAGCAAACTAATGCATGAACAAACCCAAATACTGCATGTTCTTACTTATAAGTGGGAGCTAAATAATGAGAACACATGGACACATAGAGGGGAACAACAGACTCTGCGGCCTACTTGAGGATGGAGGGTGGGAGAAGGGAGAGGATCAGAAAATAAAACCATTTGGTACTAGGCCTACTACCTGGGTGATGAAATAATCTGTACAACAAACCCCTTTGACATGAGTTTACCTATATAACAAATCTACCCATGTACCCCTGAACCTAAAATAAAAGTAAAAACAAAATGAAGAAGGTGATAATGTGACTAATAAAAATTTGGTCAGGACAGCAAGAATACCATAATTAGTATAAAACAAAAAGAAAACCACACACACTTGGCCGGGTGTGGTGGCTCATGCCTGTAATCCCAGCACTTTGGGAGGCCGAGGCGGGCGGATCACAAGGTCAGGAGATCCAGACCATTCTGGCTAACACGGTGAAACCCCGTCTCTACTCAGAATACAAAAAATTAGCCAGGGGTTGTGGCAGGCGCCCGTAGTCCCAGCTACTCGGGAGGCTGAGGCAGGAGAATGGAGTGAACCCGGGAGGCAGAGCTTGCAGTGAGCCGAGATCGCACCACTGCACTCCAGCCTGGGCAACAGAGAGAGACTCCGTCTCAAAAAAAAAACCCAAAAAAAAAACCAAAACAAACAAACAAAAAAACAGTTGTACTACTTAGATAAAATTCTGCTTGTATTAATGTGCATCATATATTAGTATAAAAAGATTTATTTTTATACTAACACTCAGTTAAATATATGTGAAAACAATCCATTGTTAATACTTGTCTGTATAAGTTGTGACTTTTTATTTTATGTTTTACCATCAAAGAGATTGTATAACTAAAAAAACGTAGAACATCTTTTTTTATTTTTATTTATTTATTTATTTTTTGTTGAGATGGGAGTCTTGCTCTGTCACCCAGGCTGGAGTGCAGTAGTGCGATCTCGGCTCACTGCAACCTCCGCCTCCTGGGTTCAAGCGATTCTCCTGCCTCAGCCTCCCGAGTAGCTGGGATTACAGGCATGTGCCACCACGCCCGGCTAATTTTTGTATTTTTAGTAGAGACGGGGTTTCGCCATGTTGGCCAGGCTGGTCTCGAACTCCTGACCTCAGTTGATCCACCTGTCTCAGCCTCCCAAAGTGCTGAGATTACAGGCTTGAGCCACCATGCCCTGCCCAGAGCATCTTAAAAACCTAGAACTTCTGTTAGAAGAGCCTTAGAGATCTATAACACAAAACTTATTTTTGCATTTTAGAGCTGAGAAAAGTGAAGCTTAGAAAGCTAAGAGACTTGCCCAAATCCAAAAAGGAAGTGACCAAGCTGAGACCTCCGTTCCTCTGTAACCAATTTCCTTTCCTATAAATTTTTCAGGAAAGCTAATTACTCTGTGTATGGCACTCTTCTTGTTTTCTACTCACATTAACTGTGATTAGTTATAAACAATAGCACAATTTGTATATTAGGATTACATTCTTCTGAATTCTTTTCACAAACTCTTTCCTGGGGCAGTATGCTTATGTGGGCGAGAAGGGTCAGAGAAAAGATTATGGAAACTCAAGGATGATAGTATTTTAACTTAATAGATGTATTTGACTTTTTCTCTGTGGAAATCAAAGTGCTTCACTCAGAGGTGTTAATTCTCCTGTGATCCCTCTGAAGTAGCTTACAAAGACCATTGCACAGATGAGAAAACCGAGTTTGCATCCCCGGTCTGTACTACTGACATCAGCTGGAGGGACATTTCTAAAATATACGACTGGCTGCTTTATTCCTCTGCTTAAAATCCTTCATGACCTCCTTTGCCCTCAGGATAAATTCCAGACTCTTTCACCAAGCTAAGCAGCCCTCATAACCCATGCTCTCATAGTTAACCTCTACCCCTTCCACTTCCTTTGGTATACTCACTGCTATTGCCACACGTGTCATGCTCATTGTCTTTCACCTCCAAGGCCTTTACCTATTCTGTTTCTGCTCTGAGCGCCCTTACATACCTGTTCTTTGTATCGAGGAACAGGTGTTACCTCTTCTCTGTATCCTCTGAGGCAGCGGCATTTGCTTCCTCAGTATTTTGAACATCTTATGCATGACCCTATTAGAGAATTTATAAGTGCATGAAGGGTTTTTGTTTGTTTTGTACTTCTTACTTCTCTTTTAGATTGAGCTCTTGATGGACAAGCATTGGGCCTTATTCCTTTTGGTCTTCATGGAACCTAGTTCAGGACTAGGCTCATGGTAGTATCTGAAAAGGTACTGGATGAATGAGTGAATGTGACTAGCATCCTGGCAGGAAGTGAGAACAGCCTCCCTATAGGATGTTTTAATGGATTCTCATCTGCCACTGCCTTGACCACGCCTCTTCCAATTCCACTGATATTTCACAGACTTTACAGTCTCTCCTAGGGTTAAAGAGGCCAGTTACTCTTGCCAGGCTCCTGGCAGGCACTGCCACTGGTTCTTTAAAGGGCCTCTTCAGCCATCTCTGAGACTCCAAACATGGACACATGCTATGGGATTTACATTCATTTGTTTAGTGCAGTGCACTCACCCCTAGTGTTATGCAAGATGATTTCTAGGTGATTTGTGAATGTTGTAAAATAGATATGCTATGTCATTTAAAAATAACTCTTTTTTTATTGATGATAACAAGTTACAGGTTCTGTTTAAAAATTATTTAGGTTTAAAATTAATTGATTTAAAGAGAAATATTAAGTTCAAAAAACACTGGTGTATGGCAAAACCTGTGAAGTGGTGCCTGAATGATTGATGGTAGAAAAATAACTGATTTCATTCCTGTAATCATTCACACACTAATTCATCAGATGTTTACGGCACATTGCATGGCAGACCGTATTCTAAGTAAGGGGGATATAGGCAGTGAATACTTTGTATTGGTCTCTGTCCTTTAAATTTTAGACAATCTCCTTGGGCACATTGCACATTCCACTACTGGCAAGAACAATTTGCTAGTATTCACACTGGTGTGGGTTGACTAGATTGGATGGGAATGGCATAATCACTTTCTGGAAAAAGAAAAATATATACAAATATACATGTACGTATGTATATGTGTGTCCATGTGTGATCTTGTGATCTGGATTACTGTTTTGCCAATTCTATTCAACAGAATATGCCAGTGGGTATACACATATACACTCACCACACAACCACCCAAATATTAGAATTGTTATGTCACACTGCATAGGAAATGGAGCTGTAAAATAACTTGCCAGGAGTGGAGCTGAAAGGTAGACAGTGAGTAACAGGAAGAGAACTGATATTGGCATCAGATCAGAATTCAAATATCAGTTTTGCTACTTACTTCAAGACTTTGGGTATGCTCACAACATTCAAGGGCTTAAATGATTAGTTATGCCTAGCATGGATATGGGAGGGGGAATTGGATGATCAGTTATGTCTGACAGCAGCATGAAAAGGGAGAATGGCAACACGCTTACTGCACTGCATTTACTGTTTCTGAGCTGGATAGCTTTGAAGAGATCTTTGAAGGCTAACTTTATGCAGTTCTGCAAAAATCAACTTCTCCATATTTTTCAAAAGAGTAAGTAGTGAACGAATATGGCAAAGATGGCAGTGATGGTGCTGATGGTAATGGTGTGGAATGACTTCAATTTACCTCCACAAAACTGGTGGTAGGAGGCCTCTAAGATAACCCCCAATAATCCCCACCTCCTGCTGCTCCTCCCCATCTGTGACTCCCTGTCTTTCAATGTGAATTGGGCTTATTTCCCTTGTAACAAATAAAATACAGCAGAAGTAATGGAATGTCATTTCTGATATTAGGTTATAAAAAGTCTGTGACTTTTTTCTTGGGTTCTCTCTCTCCCTCTCCTTCTCTCCCTTTCTCTTTCTCTCTCTGAAGGAAGCCAGCTGCCATGTTTCAAACTGCTCAAGGGAGAGGTCCAAATGGTAAGGAGCTGATGTCACTGGCAAACAGTCAGTGAGGAGCTGAGCCTGCCAACAGCCACATGAGGAAGCTTGGAAAAAGATCCTCTCCAAGATTACTCTTGAGATAACTGCAGCCCTATCTCACACCCTGATTTTACCCTTTTGAGAGATCCTTAGTTAGAGACAAACAGCTAAGCTGCACCTGGATTCCTGACCCACAGAAATTGTGAGATAACAAAAGCTTAAGCTTCTAAGTTTTGGAGTAATATCTGTCAAAAGAAAACAATTACAGAACTCTAAGTTTGGCAATCACTAAGGTGAATCTTGACCTGTAATATGCTGGCCTGAGTCCTATACTTTGTATATTAAGAATTACCATGAGCTCAGATCTCTATTTGGATACAAAATCATCCTCTGCGCATGTAGACACGTGGGGACCAGAGTCACACGTTGCTGTGAGCTCCAAAACATTATTCCAGCTTCCAACTGGATATTGCTTAAAGAATGTCTCTATGTTACCTCCACATATAATGTTTCCAAAATTCTCCCTAGTCCTGTTCCTGTACTGTTATTCTCTATTGTTAGGCTCAAATCACAAACTTTCGAATATCAGTGATTCCCTCTCACTCTCACTGACTATAGCTTATCTCTGGAATCCTCCCCTTACTATCACTGTTCAACTTCACTACTAGGATCTCATACCTGATTAGGGCAGTAGCTTCCTGTCTATCATCTTGCTTGTCCCAAGACTTCCTTTTGCACTGCACCCATTACAATGCTTTGTCCTTTTATCATTGTCCTTTTATCTGTAAATTTGTAATATTTAATGTGGAAACAAGCATATCAAAATAAAACTATCTTGAATCCCATCATCATTAATCTGATTTAATTTCTGTACAGCCTTTCAGTCTCTGTCTACATGCAAAAAATGTATCTCTGTCTATATGCAAAAATGTATATCATTTGATGGTAATAATTTCTATATAATTTTTGTGTGTTTTACTTTTAACCATTTTCTCAGTTTGCAACATTTTGTCTTTGAAATTATCATTGCCAATGACTGCATACTATCCCATGGAGGAGATATACCCTAAGATACTTAACTATTTCCCTATTGGACATTTGAGGTGTTTCTAATATTTGTTGTTATAAGTGATATTGGATTATCTTCCTGTGAAAAATTGTTCTCCCCTTGTCAATTAGTTCACTATAGTAAATTTTCAGAAAGAGAATTCCTAGGATAACCATTCTGAAAACTTTTTGGTATTAGATAGATGTGCCTGATATTTTTCTGAGAAGATTGAACCTGAGGCATTTTGTGCCAAGAATGTAAAACAACATCTTTTAATTTCCAAATTTTTTGACATAGCAACATACTTATTTTAAAAATTCCCATTGACAGCATCAAAAAATTCGCATAGTAATGTGGACAGATGAAAGTGTTCAGGAAGAAGGGAAGAGCAGAAGTAATTTAAAGTTTGTTAGGACTGGACCTATTTTTCTCCATTCCAATATGCAAGCAAACAAACAACTCTCACTCTATTTATTGACATCTAGGAATGTAGATGCCTATTAATTTTCATACCAACTTTGTAAACGTAAGCCCCACTCTCAGTACTGTGCTCCTCCCCAGTGAGTGAGAAGGCAGCTGTACCCATAGAACTCTCTTTCTTCAGAATACCCTGGGTACCTGTAATGCCAGAATACTTGACCCAAATGGCCCTGGCCCAGATTTTCACTATCATAAATAACAATAAATTTAACTTTTATTCTAAATCTTCCTTCCTGTCCTGTTCTTTTCCTTCCTTTTGTTCTCCTGCTCCCCTTCTTCCTTCTCTCCCATCCCTCCTCATTCTTCTTCTTCTTCCTCTTCTATTTATATCAAGCTTTGTGCATGGAGGCCACACTAGTATAGAAGTCAAGAGTGAGGACTTGTGAAATCAGACTACCTGGGCTCACTCTCAGCTCCTACACACTTAAGCAGCATGAACATACATACAATTGTCTCACTGTTCTTTGGTTCTCTCATCTGAAAAATGGGGATAACCTGACTGCTTCCTCCTGGAGTTGTTATGATGATTAAATAAGTCAATATATACCTGGCAATTATAAGTGTCAGCACATAGTGAGTGCTCAGTAACTACCAGCCACTATGACCGAATCCTTTCACATCATTTCCTCAGAAAAGGTTTCCAGAAGGGGAATTACTGAGACACGGGGTAATAGCACCTTTTATGCTCTTTTCATGCTTAACCTCCTGAAAGTGCAGCACTGATTTCCACTGGATGGTGATAGTTTCAAGGACTCCACCTCACTCAGGGCTGGAGAGGAAGGCGTGGAGGATAAATGACTTACTGTGGCCTGGCCTGATGTCACCTTAGCACTGGGTAGCCAGGCTTGTGTCTGAAGAAAATGCAGCTAGACTCACCCACATTACACAGTTGGCTGTGCAGGGGTGTCAAGCAACAAGCTGATACTGGAGAGAAGTCAAGGAGAAATACGATTGCCTCAGGATAGGCACTGCTCTTGTCAGGAAAATTCCTAGGAACATGAAGAGAGACGTGCTTAAACGGTTCTGTGAGTCATATCCAGGAATTTGTAGAACAAAAGGGCAATCACTCCATGGCCACGCAGGGCTCCTGACAGAGGGCTTTCATGGAAGGACCAAGGAGGGCCAGAGAACACAGAGCAGACCAAGTCATTACCTCCCTGGTGATTCCTGACCCACATTTACAGGAGCCGGTTTCCCTTTCTTCTTCTATGAGGGACATTAATAGTTCAGTTCTTTTTAGTAGACAGAGAGGTTCTGGGTATCTGAGGGGTTTAAGAAAGACTGACACACAGGACTGCAAGAAACTCGACGCACGCTGACAAGACCTGACTTCCCCAAAATAACTTACTCACCAGATCCTTGTTGCTGGTAATTTAGCAGCAGTTGGGGTGTTTTCATAGTCGTCTTGAAAGTCAGGGCACTGGGTTGATGCTGCAGCTACTGACAATGATGAAAAAAGGTGAGGATGTGATAAAGATGATAATGAAAATAATGAAGAGAATGAGAAACTAATATGGACTGAGTATGCCAGTGCTGGGTGCTTTCATATGTTTGATCTCAATTTATTTTCATGACCTCCCTAAGAGGTGGATATAATTGTCCCCATTGTACCTCACAGAGGTTAGGTATCATGCCCATGGTCACACAGCTGCTATGTGCCCACCAAGGATTTAAATTCCTGTCCACATTTCAAATCCTGGGCTTTTTCCTCCAAATTCTATGCAGTAGATAAAAACACCATGAAACAAAAACAAAAAGACAAACTCCCCAAAACAAAACAAAAAACAATCCATTTTGGAGAAATACCCACATGTAACCCTTCTGAAGGGCACCGGACTTCTTGTAATTACAAAACTAACTTTGCTGCATGTCCTGTACTTTGCGTTTTCTGCTTTCAAGCCAATTAAACATATTATCCCTGCCAGGGCCTTAGACTACAAACCAGTTCCAGATTTGTGAGAGTCTTGAGATGTGGGGATTAAAACAGCCTGATCACAGAGGGTTAGACTGTTCGAAGGGTGAGCAGCCTTCACCCAGCGATCCTAGTGACCTGGTTCCCCTCATGAGGCAGCCATCAGATTTCTCAGCAGATCAATTGTTCCCAGGTAACTTGCTCATCTGAGCAGCCAGAGAGCCTCCGCGGTTGCCCACTGAGAGCACACCTGAGGCTGCCCGGCTTTTCAGTGCCCGGCAAGTTTGCCGACCTGATTAACCTATGATAATTATTTTGTGAAGCTACACAGTAGGCAGAAGGTACTAGACAGACAGCCCTGTTGGCCAGGCCTTCACAGTTCATTTCCACAGGGCATTCCCATTTGAGTCTCTGGACATGAGCTAGATTCATCCCCACGTATTTCTTTCCCTTTTCTGCTTGTTCTCTTCCCTGCCCTCTATCGTGCACACACCAGGGCAGGGTCACCAAGTTCCTTGTATAAAAAGATGCAGAGTGAGGAAAAAAAAGAGAAAGGTGACTAATTCATTTTCAGGACAAGCTAAGCAGTCTGATGCATATTTAATGTAATTGCTTTGCAAAGCAACAGTTGTGTCTCCCAAGAATTATGGAGTTTTTAAGGCAAATGACAGAAGGGAATTTCCCGAAATGCTCCTCAGTGGAAAGAGCAGAATGTTGACTTTTGTGTGAATCAGCATGATCTCCAGGCATGATGGTTGAGACATAGTTTTTATTGGTTGCAAACCTGGTTTGAATCTTGTTCTTGAACCCTTCTGGACTTATGATCTTGCACTGAGTTTTTAATTTCCTGAAACCTCAGTGTCTTCATCTTCCAAGTGGGAATAATAATAGTCATAGAGTTGTTATAAGCACTACATGATAAAATATAGATAAGAAGCTAAGCACAGTGCTCAGCACACAGAAATACAAAATAACTGGAAGCTGTGATGATAACACATGTTGTTACTTGGGTTATCATAGCTAAAGGAGAGTCCAGGAAACCAGGTCATACAGTCCAGGTACCATGATGCAAAGTAGAATCAGGAGTCCAAGAATCATGGAATGAAGGGATTCCTGAAGGAGTTCTCTTAAGAAGGCTGGAGATGTCTCTTCTGCTATAAAGGGGATTGACTAAATGTGCATGGTGACTAAAAGGAGATGGTATACGGAAGAGTAATTTTCTTTGACCCCAATAGACTGAGAACAAGAACTTCTTTTAATTAAACCATGGAGGCCGGGCACAGTGGCTCACTCCTGTAATCCCAGCACTTTTGGAGGCCGAGGCGGGCAGATCACGAGGTCAAGAGATGGAGACCAGCCTGGCCAACATGGTGAAACCCCGTCTCTATTAAAAATACAAAAATTAGCTGGGCATGGTGGTACATGCCTATAGTCCCAGCTACTCAGGAGGTTGAGGCAGGAGAATCACTTGAACCCGGGAGGCAGAGGTTGCAGTGAGCTGAGATCACGCCACTGCACTCTAGCCTGGCGACAGAGCGAGACTCTGTCTCAATAAATAAATAAATAAATAAAATAAAATAAAAATTAAATTTAAAAAAACATGGATACCCCTTGAGAATTATGACTTTATTCTTTTCTTGAAGTAGGGCTCAAAGAGCAGCTGTCAAATTATATCCATCCACTTCAAGACCTTGATCTCTTTCAGAAAGTTGGGGGCAGGGAAAGGTCATATCACATTCTAGGCCCATATTATTGAGGTCTGATTTTCTGTTCTTTTATATTTACTCTCCCTTTTGCTCATGCAAGAAGACTAGATGTCAAATCATGCAAATAATCTGCTAGTTAAATTTTTTAAAGGGAAGAATGTGATGACACTAAAATTTGGAAAAAGAAAAGAAATCATTCAAAATCATTTTGTGTCATCTCCTTTTACTTACTTTATCTGAATCCACTTAGATTTTAGGTAGTCATAATGAACTTTTAAAATGTTTGCTTCTTTCCCCTATAATTATATCATAAGTGCATTGTGCTTTTCATTTAGTCTTCATGGTTATCACTGCAGATCGTTCCACAGTATTATTGTCCCTAATGTTGGATAGCTGGGGTGTTTCACTTTTTTTCTCATTCGAGTTAATGCTACAAAGAACATCATCCTGTATAGATTCATTTTATTCTTTTTAATGATCTCTTCAGGATAAATTCCATGTTTGGAATGATTTATAATTCTTGATATATGTTATCGTATTGCTTTTTAGAAGACCTGTACTAATTTTTATTTTCTCCAGAATAGAACACTCACAAAATTGCCAGACCTGGATGCTATTTTTCTTAATTTGCTAATTGTTTTTTTCTGATGATTTGTTAACATAGTCGTGTTCACAAGACTTATTAATTGTTTACAATTCCTCTCAAATTATCTGCTTTTACAAAAAACAAACCTACCAGGTATGCTAAGTGTGACCGTGACAGGTCAACCCTGGGTTCCCTGAGGCTGGACCCTCAAGAGGCTATAATAGGTTGGATTGTCTCAGAAGCAGATCCTAATATAGAGAGTAGCATGGAGGAAATCTTTTGGGGAGGACTCTTAGGATTAAGAGCTTGGAAGGAAAGAGAAGAAAGCAGGATCAATTGGGCAGAGAGAGAAGTCAAGCTGTGGTTTAGTCTTGATGCATAGGAGTTCACAACGAATCCACAGGAAGTTGTGAAGATGGGATGATGGCTTTTGAGAGCTGTCTAATATTAGGTTGAGAAGCTTGAGCATATAAACACCCTGACAATCAGTCACTGGATGCAGATGGCTCTGGAAGAGTGTGTGAACTTGGGTCAGGTCATCTCTTCAGCTGAGACCCTTCAGGGGCTAACAGTTGAGGGCTATCTGCCCACAGAAATCCTTCCATGCAGTGACAAATTCTTCATTCCTGAAGGGGTACCTGGGCAGCCAATCATAGTGTCCAGGGCCGCATAAGGAGTTTAGACACAAACACACTTCAGTTGCATTTTTTTGCTGCAGCATTAACAGAGGTGTTATATCTCATTCCACCCTGAAAATCTGAGCATCTGACCCTGGCCTCCTGCTCAGTCCACTTCTCAAGGCACTGTGGTGCTGGGAATGAAGGGGAGAGAGACTGAGCAGGTTAAGGGGCACAGTTTAGTGGGGGAATCAACAAGTGACACACAGTACTGTGCAGGGAGTCCCCAGAACCAAGATAGGCAGCTTAGGGAAGTCCTCTCAGAGATAAAGCTTAAGCTAACATTGGAAGGAGGAATAGGAGTTTATGAGGGGGAAAAAAACACCATTATAACCATCTGCCCCTCATCCCTGCACTCCTCTACATTCTTACATTCTTACAGTACTTGAGCCTGCTCGTATTGGTCTGCCACGAATGCTCTTCTTCATCCTCATCCACTTGCTTAAGTCTTACTTATTCTTCAGAGCCCATCTGAAAAGCACCTCTTCCCTACAGCTTTCCCTGACCTGGTCCAGAGGTACAGGTGACTCCAAAGGAGGTTCTCTCTCCCTCCATGTCCCCTCCCACAGCACTTAGCATCCATGTCTGCCATAGCCTTCATCACATGGTTTGCCTCCTCCACTGAACCATGAACTTAGATTCTGTGACTCCTCTTTTCAGGCTTGCCACAGAGACAGAGCTGGGAGACTGCTGGACCACCATAAACCAATTGAAAGATCATCTCTTGAAATTCAATCCTAAATGCCATTGCTGGAACTCAGTAGCTTCTCAATAAAAGATACACACTGAATAAATTTACATATTTAAGTTCATTTTCCATTAGCTTTCCTTTCAGGAAATCACTTTTTTTTTCCTAAGTGGTATTTGGGAGAAAGTCCACTTCCTACTACATGTGGTTTTCTCTCCTGCTTGAGAAACCTGAGCCTTCCTAAAGATCATCATCAGTCCACTCCACCAGCCCCACCCACCAATGAGCAGGCCAAAGCATGTCTCCTTAATACAGAGCCTTTTTTTTTCCTTGTGAGAATGCCAAACCTGCTCTGCTATCTGAGATGAATAACCCCAGCTAAAAGAGAACCCACTGAGTCTTCTAGCCAAGGAAGCTGCTGGCAGAGATGGGAGTGGGGGACAGTTGGGGCAGTGGGTAGAGCACATTTTGAAGCATAAAATTTCCCAGGGTCAGGACATTTCATTAGGAGACTTCTAGATGTATTTTTCTCTCTAAAGACTCAAATGAAAGTCCAGAGAATTTACCAACTGCAGTGAAACATTCTGGTGCTTTAAAACCCTTTCTTTATCACCAGGAGTCCTGTTGCCCATTAATTGTAAACAAGTTTGCTCGTTGATCTAACAAATGCCTATTTATTTTTTAGGTTCACTCTGTTTCATTTTTAATTAAAATTGTTGCATTGATTTGTTTTTAAAATAATAGCGAAGACTCTGACTTTGTAGGTTGAGAAATAAATTATCATTTGAAGGATTAGAGTGGCTCTTCTTTTGATTTTAATAAAGATTAGAAGAAGAAAAAGAAGCACAAAGGAATGAATGCAGCTCCCCCAATATAATGAGTTAGACGGCTTCCCCCCTTGATCAAACAAAAGAACAAACGTATTAAACAAAGAGTATAGATTTGACAAACCATCTCTGCTCTGGCAAAGGATTTTCAAGGGGATTTGGAAAGTTGTAGCCTGCCCGTGTTCTGTTATTTCTGAGTATATTAAAGCCAGTACTCTGTTAGCTTAGGTATTGTTTTTGTGTGTGCTTTGCTTCCTGGCAATAGAGTCTTTCTTTAAGAAAAGCAATTGGGAGATACCCCGGTCCTGGTTAATCTGTTCCCCTTTTCACACACAGACCATTGTCTGGATGTGCTTCCCAAGAGGCACAGGCATTATGTCCTGGGCCCCCTCTCCCAAGTCGGCGGCCTGTACAAAGGAAGCGTACATCTTGGGAAGAGCCTGCTGGATTTCCATTTGACACTAGAGCTGTTTTGCTTTGTGTAACCCTCAATGCAAAATGTGCCAGTTCCCAAGGAAAAACACCACCACCAAAAAAACAAAGCAAGAAACAAATTTGTGGTTTGTCAGTGTTTCACTCAGGCCCTCTACCGCAAAGAAGAGTTCGGGAGGTTCCTGCTGTCTTCATGGGTGACTTCAGGGCTCTGGATAACATCCATCCCCTGTGGAGGTGCTGAGGGTCTGGCTGTATCCCTAGAATAGGAACTTCTGGAACCGTCCCTTTGTCCTAAGGTCCACTGTGGCTTTCCACCCCGATGTAAAGGTGAGGTGAGCTATCTATACACCTGTCAGTCAACTCTGACAACTGGACTTGCACAATGGCTGCCCTTGTCATGTTGATATTTAATTATTCCCTGTTTACTAGTTCTTTTTTTCAGATTATAAATATGGCCCCAGACAAATACACACACGTGCACACACACACACACACACACACGCCTCTGATAACTCTGGATATCCCTCTCCTTCTCCTTCCTTCTTTCTCCATTTTAGTTTCTTAAGAGTGTGGTATATTTGTTATCATCTCCTAACTCCAACTTTTGCTTGCTCCTGAAGTTCCTGCAGTGTGGTTGCTGCCCTTTACTCCCATCCATGATTCCAACCTGCCTGAGATCACTAGCTACTGCCATGTTCTTAGGCACTTGCTTATTTACTTCCTCTTCCTCCAGACCATGAGCAGACTCAGTGTTGGGGTCATACATTATTCATCCCTGTGTTCATAGCATCATGGGGCTCAGTGCCTGTGACATGGTTTCGCTGTGTCTCCACCTGAATCTCATCGTGAATGGTAGTGCCCATAATCCCCACGTGTCATGGGAGGGACCCAGTGGGAGGTAATTGAATCATGGGGGCGGGTTTTTCCCATGCTGTTCTTGTGATAGTGAATACGCCTTATGAGAACTGATGGTTTATAAAGGGTAGTTCCCCTGCACACGCTCTCTTGCCTGTGGCCACATAAGATGTCCTTTGCTCCTCCTTCACCTTCTGCCATAATTGTGAGGCCTCCCCAGCCATGTGGGACTGTGAGTCCATTAAAACTCTTTTACTTATAAATTACTCAGTCTTGGGTATTTCTTCATAGCAGTATGAAAATAGACTAATATAGCCTGTTTGACTACATGGATGTATTTCAAAACTATCACATTGTCACAGCTTCTTCTTAAGTTATGGAAAGAAAAAAGGCATTTCCTGATCATTTTGCCTATAGTAGGCTGACACTGGGAACAGCCACACACATTTTCTCAGTCATCTTTCCTACAGCAAGGCATTTTGCAGATGAGGCAACGGAGGCTCTGAGAGACAAATTAACTTGCTCTAGATCACACAGCCGGTATGTAGAAGATGGTAAATCTAGGAGATTGTGTTTTAAAAGGCATTTCTGTTCTTTGGGATGGTTTAGATTTTGGTACAAATGTTTCAGGCATTGAGAGCACTTCATGGAAATGAAAGACTCATCTGAGGTGAGTGTGGGAGTCTCAAATGCTGAGGAAGTGGAGACCCATCTCCTAGCTGCCATTATGCCTATAAGACAGATTCTTCTCTTGGGTAGTGAATGGCCCACTTAATTGGAGAAAGGATAATAGCATCAACAAATAATACTTAATGAGATTTCTGCTCTGCTATAGCAATAGCTTGTGTTAAATTTATGAATTGTATGAACTCATTTAATCCTCAAAATAATCCTAGGAGGAAGGTACTCTTATTAGTCTAATTTTATTTATGAGAACACTGAGAGACAGGTTAGATAACTTACCCAAAGGATTAGATAACTTGCCCAAGGTGGTAAGTATAGCTGGTAAGTAGTGAAAGTAGGATTCAAACCCAGACAAGTATCATTCCACAGTCCAGTACTGTAGCAGCCATATTATCCCAGGTAAATTATCCTCTTCTTAAAAGTCCTAGGGTTTCTATATTTGCCTGGGGGTGGGAATATCTTGAATTCATCTCATTGATTCTCCAAGCTAAACATGCTGAGTTTTTTCATCATTTCTCTATATGGTGACATTCTGGTACATTACCATCTTGTTTTCTCTTTGGGGATCGTCTTTCACTTTATATAGCTTCCTCTTAAAGCATAAACCCCAAAATGGAGCAAGATGTTCCAGGAGTTGTCTGTCTTCTTGATGTAGCATAAAGTCACTAAAGTTTCAGTTTTTGTGGTCCTGTCACATATAATGATTTATGCTGTTCTTCCTGCTAACCAGACTTCCTGAGTCTTTTTTCAATGAGCTGCTGGGACATTATACCTCACTTATTTGAGGGTATTTTGGCATAAATTCAGGCAGTACCTTAAGTTTATCCTTGATAAATTTCACCTTGTTAGATTCCTTTAACCCATAGTTTTTGCATGTGCTTTAAGTCAGCTACCAAGTTGCTAACCAGACATATTGAAATGTGCATGAGATTTAGAATTGGGAAACCTTGAATTTAGAGTATGGTTTGTCACTTAATGAATTATTTTATCTTAGGCAATTTTCATTAACTGCCCTTGCCTAAGTTTTCCCATCTGTAAATTAAGTCTAATGGTGTAGACTCAAGAGGATTGTGAGAATTCCTTGAGAAAAGGCTTTAAAAATAAATTCTTGTTATCATTATAAATATTTCAATCCTCACCGACCTTTCAACAGCCTATCCAAAAGTCAAAAAAAGTCCCAATATACATTTTTTAAGCTTTTATTTTTGTTCATTTGCATTATATTTATGTTACAAATGTAACATAAATCATTCCATGCAAGGTTCCTGGGGTTTTGCATTAATTTTTTAAAATGCTTAGTGATTGTTTACACTGTTTTCTGAGAAACTAGCTGTGAAATATGAAATACGTATTCTTAGAAATGCTTCTAATCAGCTCTAGTTTTTGTATAACAACTGTAGTAATATGGTTACCTGAACAAGATGTTAATAGAGCATTATCCTCTTCTGGAGATATAACCTGAGATAGGACACATCAAGCAGAGCCTAATGATTTTCTGCCTTAGTCAGAGGCAAGGTCATCTTTACTTTCTGGGCTTCCTCTAAGGACTCAAGCAACCAGCCTCAGGAGGAAATATGAGAGAATAAGAGAACAGAAAAATGATGACTAATTTCTGATCCAGATCTCATTCAGAATTGCACTTTGATAATACTAATCTCCCTAACCATTTGAACCACTAAATTCTGAACATTTTGCTAGCCTTGACTTTCAAAGTCACCCCAATCCTTCAACATTTTACTGACTTCTCAAATTCTTCCATGACAGGCTCTGATCACTAATATTAGCCTGAGCTTTCCAGACTTAAAGAACTGGCCCCTTGCGTCTTCTGACATAAGATGCTTGTCTAACCCGTCAAGTCTTCCACATTCAACTGGGCCTACACTTTGAGCTGTAGATCAAATTCTGCTACTATCAGCAAGAAAAGAGCTGTAAAATACATTCTTGAAAGGCTCTATTAGGTCTTCAGGATGAAAATACTTTTTTCCTACTCTCAGGCAATGTAAACCTACACAGCTGATTCAAATAGGATTTCAGTCTAATGGGACAGGCTACAAATCTCAGTGGTTAAGACGGTGAGACAGACCTGGGTTTGAATCCTAGCGATTTCAATTGTCAGTGGAATGTGGGGCAAGCTCTTTCCGTCCTAATTCTCAGCTTCTTTACCTGTAAAATGAAGATACTGATTCCTATATCACAGAATTATTGTAAGAATTATATTAAATAATATATAAAGTGTTTATGATACTGCTTTGTACATAATAAGCATTTCATAAGTACCAGATACTAGTTTATAATTTGATGTGGTGCACATTCTACAGAATTCTGTCTAGTCTGTCTGGCCACAAGGCCCATGCTTTCTCCACTGTGTCAGGTAGCTTCAATTTATAACCTCAAATTTATCAGTCAGTTGGTCTTTTGTAAACAAAAGGTCTTTGCTTAGTTGTAGACTGTCTATTGAATTTTTTATTTCAATAACTATATTTTTCATTTCTATAAGTTCTAATTCTTTTTAAAGTATCTATTCTTTTCTCAGTGTCTCATTTTTGCAGCTCTTTTTTATGCCTTTAAACTATTTAAATATACTTGTATAGTCTCTATGAAATTGGTTAATTATTGGAGTTCTTTAGGGCTTAACTCTATAATTTTTTTTTCTGCTGATAGCCACTCACAATAGATCAATTGTTGATGTGTTTTTAGTTTAGGATTGAGAGTTTATTGTGAGTGGGTCTTTATCCATAGGAATCATGTTCATTTTTGACTGAAAGTATTTGTCCATAAGAGTGGTATTCCAGAGTCTCTAGGGATGTTAAAAGCCTAGGACCTATTCTGTATAATATTCTAGCTTGGAGGTTCCAGGATTATGTAATATAAATTAGAGCCCCAGGCATACATGTTATTCAAATTGGTGTTTACAGATTTCAAGAATATATTATCCTAACCACAACCTAGCTGAGAGAGATAAACTTTCCTCTTATCTGTCTTTGGGGATAGGCAGCTCATTTCTGGTGTATCCTTTTATCATATGTGTTATTCTTCATGGGTCCTGGTTTTATGCGTGTGTAAGTTCTGACTCTTCCCACATTTCATAAGCACAAGACTTCATTTCCTTTCACAACATGGGCATTAAAATCCAAACTCCTAGATTACCATGAGTGACTGTGCCTGCCCTCTGTCACCTCAGGGAAGCAACAGCATAAGCACACATGCTTACAACCTTGCTTTTGAGTTTCTTCTTCATTTCTGACCTCTGACCTCTGGGGATTTCCCTTTCTTGTGAGCTCAGCCATGCATCTGAAAGGATGTTTGTTATATTTTATCTAGCATTTATATGTGGAAGGAGTTTTTTCAGAACATCTACTGTGCATATTGCTGGAACCACAAGTATTGCATGGAAGCCTTTCTCCTATTGCTAAAGACTTCCCATCCTTTGTTCTTCCTTTAATATGAAAGTCTCTATTGCAAGGATGGTGCTCATAGGAGCTGAGTGGCCCTAGGATTGTTCTTTAACAATATAAGAGGTCTCCTTCAAGCCTTTGTGGTTTAACTATTCCCTTTCCTTTAGGCATGAGTAATCCTTAAAGTGGGCTTTGCCATTTTGACTGAAATTATAAGGTGATATGCAATATCCTAGATAATTTCCATTTTATTCAATTTGCATATTCCTGCCTTTGGGAACATTTCCCCCAAGAAACTAAGAGAGGTACCTGATTATAAAAGTATATATTTCCTATGCAAATTAACATACTTGCAGAATTTAAGTCTGAAGAGAAGAGAGATGCCTGCATTTGCTGGAATACATGAATCTTGGAAGAGACAGTTGCTTTTATTACTTTGGCTAATGACATCTAATTTCTCTCCATAAAATGATTGGTCATTTTTATTGCTCAAGCCCACTGGGTCTTTTCTCACCAAAACCAAAAAACTAGAATCATTTGCCAGAGCAGGAACTAAACATGTGCCAAATGCACATATATACTGCCACTTCCCTTCACTGCTTTTTGTACATAAATGGACCTCAGATCTCAATAAAAGTCATCAAGTCTGTGCAGTCCAGATAGCCTTTCTTTGGCCTGGAGATGTGTCTGTTTTGTTTCATATCACCTCATTCTGCAGTAAACTGTGACTTCTGGGGCACTGGGGCAGCATAATTACTGAGCTACTCTTTAAAGGGCTAAGGCTTCAAAACTGAAGGAGCAAAATGTTTGCTGATTGGCAAAAAGCCACAGGATTATTTTATTTTAACTAAAGATATATGAGGCATGGAAGAATGAACATCAGCTTTGGAAGCAGTTGGAAATGAATTCTAGTCTCAGTTCTGTAACTCACTGACAGTATATTTGGCAAGCTACTAAACTTTTCTGTGTCTCAAATATATGAATTAGAGACTATTTTCAAGGCATAGGAAACTAGTATTTGTGAAAGGCTTAATTTAGGGGTAGTGTGGTATAGAGGAGACAACTTTAGAGCCATCTAGATACAGGTTCAAATTTTGACTGTACCCCATTCCCTTTTGTCTAAAATGGGAACAACATTATCTACCACACAAACTTGTTGTGAGGATTAAAGTCAATAGGAAAACCTCACTAAGCACTTGGTTCACCATATATATTCTTTTCTTTCTCTTGTTAGCATGGTCTTTGGCTCGAAACATACCAGTGCTAGCTAGCCCCTTGCTCCCTGAGAGACTCAGGAATTTGACTCAGGTCTACCCTTGGGGTGCCCTCTGTCCAGGATGAGGCCAATTGCTCAGGTTTTTACCCAAGTAAGATGACCCTTTCATTCTCCTTCCCTTGGTTTTCTAGACAGAGGGGTTATTGGAAGCTGGGGATGGCTCCAGGCCAGCAGGCTGCTTCGTGCCTGCCACCTGGCCCTCCCACGGAGCTTTCCATCTTTCAACCGCTGGGGTTGTGACAACAGGACCCAGGCAAGAGGCCACTGGTCGAGGCTTGGCCTTAGACTCCTGAGAGGCCCCTGGAATTTTCTGGAGACAGACTGGGCTCTGTCAGCAGCCCACAGCCTGGAGAAGAGTGAACAGGGGTGTACGGGTTGTTACTCTGAGTCTACTCCCTCCCAGAGGCTTGTGGTTTTAAAGCTTTAATCACTGAGATCAGAGCCATCCTATTTTATTACAGTGCCAAAAAAGGCCACCCTGGCCCAGCACAGGAGATGGCGGCTCTTTCCAGAGGCCGTCAGCCTGGCAGAGAGAGCCATGGCTGCCAGGTCCCAGAGCTTCCTGCGGGGCTTGTGTTTCCCTTCCTATTAAATCCTCCCTGTGCTCAGAAGGCCGCTCCACTTTCCCATCTCTCCAGTTCTGCCTCTGGCTTCTTTAAAGGCTTCAGTGTTTCCTCAAATTAAGAAACCCAGCTGCTAGAGGCCCTTTGTTCAGTGTCTCTAGGATGACCTTTCAAATAATTCGTCCCCACTTGCAGGGGCTGAGCTTTGCTGGTATTTAGACTCAGAGCTTCCTTGGCTAATCGGAATTTATTATCCTCTTTGTTAGGAGACTATGAGGTTCTTTTTCTCCATGGAGCGCTGTCTTCTGGGTGAATGATACATGGGCTGGCCTGGCTCTCTAATCCTGGCAAGCCCTGTTTCCAGGTTGTGTCTCTATGGGCCCCAGAGACTCTGTGTGTGTGCGTGTGCGTGTGTGTGTGTGTGTGTGCGCACGCGTGTGCGTGCATGCATGCATGCTTGCTTCTATGGAAAATAAAGATTCGCAGGATCTCAACATCATTCTGAGATAAAGGAATCAGATTAGAGTTGAAGGAACATGGAGTCTTCACTTTAACCTTCCAAAAACCCTCCTATGAGTTTAACTATGCCGTTGGCTTTACTACAGCTGTTTAATTATTCTGGCAGATCTGATTAAACTTTGTTCATTGAGTGTTTTTATTGTGGTAGAATATGCTTAACATAAAACTTAACATTTTGATCATTTTTAAGTGTACAGTCCAGTAGAATTAAGTACATTCACATTGCTGCTATGCAACCATTACCACTGTTCATCCACAGGACCTTTTCATCTTCCCAAACTGAAACTCTGTACTGATTAAACAGTAACTCCCCATTCTCCTCTCCCCTCAGATAATCACCACTCTATTTTCTGTCTGTATGAATCTGAAGACTACATATACCTCATGTAAGTGGAATCATGTGATATTATTTGTCCTTTTGCACCTGGTTTATTTCATAGCATAATGTCATCAAGGTTCATCCATGTTCAGCACATACCAGAATTTCCTTCCTTTAAAAGGCTGCATAATATTCCATTGTATGGGTACACATTTCATTTCTCTACTTACTTGTTTGTTTGTTTGTTGGTTGACATGGGTAGTTTCTACCTTTTGGCTATTGTGAATAATGCTGTTATGAATGTTGGTATACAAATATCTGGGTGCTTGCTTTCTTTATTTTTATTTTTATTTTTTTCTGAGGCGGAGTCTCACTCTGTCACCCAGGCTGGAGTGCAGTGGCGCAATCTTGGCTCACCACAACCTCCTCCTCCCAGGCTCAAGCGATTCTCCCACCTCAGCCTCCTGAGTAGCTGGGATTACAGATGACCACCACCACTGACTGACTGACTAATTTTTGTATTTTTAGTAGAAACAGGGTTTCACCATGTTGGCCAGGCTGGTCTTGAATTCCTGACCTCAAATGATCCACCCACTTCAGCCTCCCAAAGTGCTGGGATTACAGGCATGAATCACCATACCCAGGCTCAATTCTCCTGGGTATATACCTAGAAGTGGAATTGCTGGATCATATGGTAATTCTATGTGAATTTATTTGAAGGAGTCACTATACTGTTTTCTACAGTGGCTGCACCATTTTACATTCCCTGATCATTCCAATTTCTTGACATCCTCACCAACACTTGTTATGTTTTTTTTTTAAATAGTCATCTTAATGGGTTTGAAGTGGTATGTTTATTGAATTCTGAGGATGATAAGAATGAGAATAACTGCAATACTAATCATGTATTAAACTGATACTATGTACTAAATATTTAACACACGTTTTCTCCTTGAATCTTCAAAACAACTCTATGTGGTTTGTTTTCATCTCTAATTTACAGAAGGGGAAACTGACACCCAGAAAAGGTAGGTAACTTGCTTAAAATAAAACAGCTAAAAGTTAGCAGAACTGAGAGTCAAGTGCAGGGTTGTCCTTTGTGTCTATGATCTTTCAACTACGCAACTGGTTTTCTAATCTCGTAGTTGTGCTTAGAAAAAAACTTGAGATTTTCCTTCTGCTAGTGCATTGCTAATTCTAAAAGCCTTTAAAATGTAAAGCCATGTGTTCTCATTGTTCAATTCCCACCTATGAGTGAGAATATGCGGTGTTTGGTTTTTTGTTCTTGCGATAGTTTACTGAGAATGATGATTTCCAATTTCATCCATGTCCCTACAAAGGACATGAACTCATCATTTTTTATGGCTGCCTAGTATTCCATGGTGTATATGTGCCACATTTTCTTAATCCAGTCTATCATTGTTGGACATTTGGGTTAGTCTTTGCTATTGTGAATAATGCCACAATAAACATACGTGTGCATGTGTCTTTATAGCAGCATGATTTATAGTCCTTTGGGTATATACCCAGTAATGGGATGGCTGGGTCAAATGGTATTTCTAGTTCTAGATCCCTGAGGAATCGCCACACTGACTTCCACAATGGTTGAACTAGTTTACAGTCCCACCAACAGTGTAAAAGTGTTCCTATTTCTCCACATCCTCTCCAGCACCTGCTGTTTCCTGACTTTTTAATGATTGCCATTCTAACTGGTGTGAGATGGTATCTCATTGTGGTTTTGATTTGCATTTCTCTGATGGCCAGTGATGGTGAGCATTTTTTCATGTGTTTTTTGGCTGCATATTCTTTTGAGAAGTGTCTGTTCATGTCCTTCGCCCACTTTTTGATGGGGTTGTTTGTTTTTTTCTTGTAAATTTGTTTGTGTTCATTGTAGATTCTGGATATTAGCCCTTTGTCAGATGAGTAGGTTGCGAAAATTTTCTCCCATTTTGTAGGTTGCCTGTTCACTCTGATGTTAGTTTCTTTTGCTGTGCAGAAGCTCTTTAGTTTAATTAGATCCCATTTGTCAATTTTGGCTTTTGTTGCCATTGCTTTTGGTGTTTTAGACATGAAGTCCTTGCCCATGCCTATGTCCTGAATGGTAATGCCTAGGTTTTCTTCTAGGGTTTTTATGGTTTTAGGTCTAACGTTTAAGTCTTTAACATGGACACAGGAAGGGGAACATCACACTCTGGGGACTGTTGTGGGGTGGGGGGAGGGGAGAGGGATAGCATTGGGAGATATACCTAATGCCAGATGACATGTTAGTGGGTGCAGCGCACCAGCATGGCACATGTATACATATGTAACTAACCTGCACATTGTGCACATGTACCCTAAAACTTAAAGTATAATAATAAATAAATAAATGAAAAAAGTAAAGCCAAAGGCTTCCTATAAACGTTTGACTTCAGGATGTTGGCCAGTTTCCTGGAAAAAACCCACATAGACACATGAGCATACAAGTCACTGAAAACCTAGTTACCTGGGACACACTCCAAGGCTTCTTTGAGCCCTTGTTAAGCATGATGTTGCTGTGCTGGATCTTGAGGCTGGGGTGAGGCAGACTCTTCCTTCAGGGAGCACACAATCTCGTGAGGCAAATACCTTCTAAGGTAATTACTGTACAGGGTGCTGTGGGCTGTGGTAGAGGAGATGATTACAGTACAGCATGCAGGGTGTTATGACCAAGGAACAGGGAGAGGGCCTTGGGAGCACAAATGATGAGAATGATGAACTCTATCCTTAGATACAGGACACTAGGCAAGAATTCATATCAGAATCATCATGTGAATTGACCATAGGAGGGTAAGCTGCAACATGAGAGTTGGAAGAATGGTGACAGTGGACAGGGAAAGGTATTCTGTGTGTGGAAACAGCAAATACAAAGGCTTAGAAGAGGGAGGGAATGTGGTTTATGTGGAGTGGTGTAAATGTTTCAGTACATCTGTGGAATAAAGGGCACATTAAGGAGTGGCAACAGTAGGATGGGACATAGAAATACAGGATATCCATTCAAAACATTTTCTGTCCTACAAAACATCTGGATTGGTCTTGTAGTTGATGAAAAGGTATGGAAAAATCTATGTTTTAAGCATGAGAATAATTTGGTCAAATTTGTGTTTTAGGGAAATCACTTTTATATAATCTATGGTGAATGGATTGATACTGCAGTGAGTGGGAGGTGAGACATGAGTCTGGCAATAGGAAGGCTAAATATAAGAATAGGGTACATCAATTAATTGCTATGTGCTAGCACTGTACAGAAACATTACCTGTGTTGCTCATTGGATGACCACAACAACTCTGAAAAATCTATTGTTATCCCATTTTACAGATGGGTAAACTGAAGTTAAGCAGGTTAAACAACTTGTACAAAGTCACATTGCAGTAACAGTGGGGCTGGCATTTTAAGCAGGGCTGTTTTAGTCTGAGGAAGAAATGCCAACTGAAATTAGGGCAGCCATAGTAGGATAAAGAAACTGTGACTGATATGTGTGGTATTTAAAAGGTAAAGATAACTAAAAAGGGTGGATGACAAGGAAATAACTGAAAATGATGAATGGATAGATTTAGGGAATAAAGGATAATGGGGCATTGGTGAAGACTCTCAGGTGTCTAGTTTGGAGGACTGGGCGACTGATCACGTCTTTTACTGAGAGGAGAAAGATCATAGGATGGTGGAGGGAAGAGATGGTGGGCTCTTTCTGAAAAAGTTGTGGAGCCTGTAGAAATACTGTATTGATCAAAGAAACTTTGAAATATGGATTTATATCCATTATCATTAATGATGAATCTTTTCTAATTTTACTTTAAGTTCCAGGATACACATGCAGAACATGCAGGTTTGTTACATAGGTATATGTGTGCCATGGTGGTTTGCTGCACCTATTGACCTGTCCTCTAAGTTCCCTCCCCTTGTTCCCCATCCCCCAACAGGCCCTGGGTGTGTGTTGTTCCCCTCCCTGTGTCCATGTGTTATGTGCTCTCATTGTTCAACTCCCACTTATGAGTGAGAACATGCGGTGTTTGGTTTTCTGTTCCTACGTTAATTTGGTAAGGATAATGGCTTCCAGCTTCATCCATGTCTCTGCAAAGGACATGATCTCATTCCTTTTTATGGCTGCATAGTATTCCATGGTGTATATGTACCACATTTTCTTCATCCAGTCTATCATTCATGGGCATTTGGGTTGGTTTCATGACTTTGCTATTATAAATAGTGCTGCAATAAACATACGTGTGCATGTGTCTATAGTAGAATGATTTATATTTTTTGGGTACATACCCAGTAATGGGATTGCTGGGTCAAATAGTAATTCTGGTTCTAGATCCTTGAGAAATCACCATACTGTCTTCCACAATGGCTAACCTTACATTCCCACCAAAAGTGTAAAAACGTTCCTATTCCTCCACAGTCTGACCAGCATCTGTTGTTTCTTGACTTTTTAATAATTGCCATTCTGACTGGCATGAGATGGTATCTCATTGTAGTTTTGATTTGCATTTCTCTAATGATCAGCGATGTTGAGTTTTTTTTCATATGTTTGTTGGCCATGTAAATGTCTTCTTTTGAAAAGTGTCTGTTCATACCCTTTGCCCACTTTTTGATGGGGTTCTGTTTTTCTCTTTTAAATTTAAGTTCCTTTTAAATTCTGGATATTAGACCTTTGTTAGATGGGTAGCTTGCAAAGATGTTCTCCCATTCTGTAGGTTGCTTGTTCATTGTTTCTCTTGCTGTGCAGAAGCTCTTTAGTTTAATTAGATACCAGTGATCAATCTTGGCTCTTGTTGCAGTTGCTCTTGGTGCTTTTGTTATAAAGTCTTTGCCCATGCCTATGTCCTGAATAGTATTGCCTGGGTTTTACATTTAAGTCTTTAATCCATCTTGAGTTAATTTTTGTATAAGGTGTAAGGAAGGGGTCCAGTTTCAGTTTTCTGCATATGGCTAGCCAGTTTTCTCAGCACCATTTATTGAATAGGAGATCCTTTCCCCATTGCTTGTTTTTGTCAGGTTTGTCGAAGATCAGATGGTTGTAGATGTGTGGTGTTATTTCTGAGGTCTCTGTTCCATTCCATTGGTCTATGTGTCTGTTTTGGTACCAGCACCATGCTGTTTTGGATACTGTAGGAGTATAATTTGAAGTCAGGTAGCATCATGCCTCTAGCTTTGTTGTTTTTTGCTTAGGATTTTCTTGGCTACATGGGGCCTTCTTTGATTCTATATGAAATTTAAAGTAGTTTTTTTTTTCTAATTCTGTGAAGAATGTCTATGGTAGTTTGATGGGAATAGCATTGAATCTATAAATTCCTTTGGGCAGTATGGGCATTTTCACAATATTGATTCTTCCTATCCATAAGGATGGAATGTTTTTCCATTTGTTTTTGTCCTCTATTATTCTTTCCTTGAGCAGTGGTTTATAGTTCTCCTTGAAGAGGTCCTTCACATCCCTTGATAGTTGTATTCCTAGGTATTTTATTCTCTTTGTAGCAATTGTGAATGGGAATTCATTCATGATTTGGCTTTCTGCTTGCCTTTTGTTGGTGTAAAGGAATGCTTGTGATTTTTTTTCCACATTGATTTTGTATCCTGAGAGTTTGCTGAAGTTGCTTATCAGCTTAAGGAGTTTTTGGGCTGAGATGATGGGGTTTTCTAAATATAGAATCATGTCATCTGCAAACAGAGACAATTTGACTTCTGCTCTTCCTATCTAAATACACTTTCTTTCTTTCTTTCTCTTGCCTGATTGTCCTGGCCAGAACTTCCAATACTATGTTGAATAGAAGTGATGAGAGAGGGCATCCTTGTCTTGTGCCGGTTTTCAAGGGAATGCTTCCAGCTTTTGCCCATTCACTATTATATTTGCTGTGGGTTTGTCATAAATGGCTCTTACTATTTGAGATATGTTCCACCAATACCTAGTTTATTGAGGGTTTTTAGCATGAAGGGATGTTGAATTTTATCAAAGGCCTTTTCTGCATCTATTGACATAATCATGTATTTTTTGTCTTTGGTTCTGTTTATGTGATGGATTAAGTTTATTGATTTGTGAATGTTGAACCAGCCTTGCATTCCAGGGATGAAGCCGACTTGATCATGATGGATAAATTTTTTGATGTGCTGCTGGATTTGGTTTGCCAGTATTTTATTGAGAATTTTGGCATCAATGTTCATCAGGGGGATTGGCCTGAAGTTTTTTTGTTGTTGTTGTGTCTCTGCCAGGTTTTGGTATCAGGATGATGCTGGTTTCATAAAATGAGTTAAGGAGGAGTCCCTCCTTTTCAAATGTTTGCAGTAGTTTTAGAAGAAATGGTACCAGCTCCTCTTTGTACCTCTGAAAGAATTCAGCTATGAATCTGTCTGGTCCTGGGCTTTTTTGGTTGGGAGGCTAATTACTGCCTCAATTTCAGAACTTGTTATTGGTCTATTCAGGGATTTGACTTTTTCCTGGTTTAGTCTTGGGAGGGTGTATGTATCCAGGAATATATCCGTTTCTTCTAGATTTTCTAGTTTATTTGTGTAGAGGTGTTTATAGTATTCTCTGATGGTAGTTTGTATTTATGTGGGTTTAGTGGTGATATCCCTTTATTATTTTTCATTGTGTCTATTTGAATCTTCTATCTTCTCCTCTTTCTTAGTCTAGCTTGCAGTCTATTTTGTTATTATTATTATTATTTTTTTTTTTCAAAAAAACAGCTCTTGGATTCATTGATTTTTTGGGGGAGGCTTTTTCACGCCTCTTTCTCCTCCAATTCTGCTCTGATCTTAGTTATTTCTTGTCTTCTGCTAGCTTTTGAATTAATTTGCTCTTGCATCTCTAGCTCTTTTAATTGTGATGTCAGGATATGATTTGAGATCTTTCTAGCTTTCTGATGTAGGCATTTAGTGCTATAAATTTCTCTCTTAACACTGCTTTAGCTATGTCCCAGAGATTCTGGTATGTTGTTGCTTTTTTCTCATTGGTTTCAAAGAACTTGTTGATTTCTGCCTTAATTTTATTATTTGCCCAGGAGTCATTCAGGAGCAGGTTGTTCAACTTCCATGTAATTGTGTGGTTTTGAGTGAGTTTCTTAATGCTGAGTTCTAATTTGATTGCACTGTGGTCTGAGAGACTGTTTGCTATGATTTCCATTCATTTGCATTTGCTTAGGAGTGTTTTACTTCCAATGATGTGGTCAATTTTAGAATAAGTGCCATGTGGCATTGAGACGAATGTATATTCTGTTGATTTGGGGTGGAGAGTTCTGTAGATGTCTATTAGGTCCACTTGATCCAGGGCTGAGTTCAAGTCCTGAATATCCTTGTTAATTTTCTGTCTCCTTGATCTAACACTGACAGTGTGGAGTTAAAGTCTCCCACTATTGCTGGGCACAGTGGCTCATGCTTGAAATTCCAGCACTTTGGGAGGCTGAGGAGGGCAGATCATCTGAGGTCAGGAGTTTGAGACCAGCCTGGCCAACATGGTGAAACCCCGTCTCTACTAAAAATACAAAAAAATTAGCCGGACGTTGTGGCGGGCACCTGTAATCCCAGCTACTCAGGAGGCTAAGGCAGGAGAATCACTTGAACCCAGGAGGTGGAGGTTGTAGTGAGCTGAGATGGCACCATTGCACTCCAGCCTGGGTGACAAAAGCAAGCCTCTGTCTCAAAAACAATAAAAATAAAAAAAGTCTCCCACTATTATTGTGTGGGAGTCTAAGTGTCTTTGCAGATCTCTAAGAACTTGTTTTATGGATCTGGGTGCTCCTGTATTGGGTGCATACATATTTAGGATAGTTAGCTCTTCTTGTTGAATAGTTCTCTTTACCATTACATAATGCTCTTCTTCGTCTTTTTTTGATATTTGTTGGTTTGAAGTCTGTTTTGTCAGAGACTAGGTTTGCAACCCTTTTTTTTTTTCTTTCCATTTGCTTGGTAAATTTTCTTTCTTGGTAAATTTCCTCCATCCCTTTCTTTTGAGCCTATGTGTGTCTTTGCATGTGAGATGGGTCTCCTGAATACAGCACACCAATGGGTCTTGACTCTATCCAATTTGACAGTCTGTGTCTTTTAATTGGGGCATTTCGTCAGTACATTTAAGGTCAGTAGTATGTGTGAATTTGATCCTGCCATCATGATGCTAGCTGGTTATTTTGCACACTAGTTGATGCAGTTTCTTCAGAGTGTCATTGTTCTTTATATTTTGGTGTGGTTTTGCAGTGCCTGGTACTATTTTTTTCTTTCCATATTTAGTGCTTCCTTCAGGATCTCTTGTAAGGCAGGCCTGGTGGTGACAAAATCCCTCAGTAGTTGCTTGTTTTGAAAGGATTTTATTTCTCCTTCACTTATGAAGTTTAGTTTGGCTGCATATGAAATTCTAGGTTGAAAATTTTTTCTTTAAGAATGTTGAATATTGGCCTCCAATCTCTTCTGGCTTGTAGGGTTTCTGCTGAGAGGTCCGCTGTAGTCTGATGGGCTTCTCTTTGTAGGTGACCTGGCCTTTCTCTCTGGCTGCCTTTAACATTTTTTCCTTCATTTTGACCTTGGAGAATCTGAAGATTTTGTGTCTTGGGGTTGATCTTCTCGTGGAGTATCTTAGTGGTGTTCTCTGTATTTCCTGAATTTGCATGTTGGCCTGTCTTGCTAAATTGGAGAAGTTATCCTGTATAATACCCTGAAGTGTGTTTTCCAGCTTGTTTCCATTCTCCCATCTCCATCAGGTACTCAAATCAACCCTAGGTTTGGTCTTTTTACATAGTCCCATATTTTTTGGAGGCTTTCTTTGTTCCTTTTCGTTCTTTTTTCTCTATTCTTGTCTGCATGCCTTATTTTAGCAAGGTGGTCTTCTAACTCTGATATCCTTTCTTCGGCTTGGTGGATTCAGTTATTGATACTTGTGTATGCTTCCTGAAGTTCACTTGCTGTGTTTTTCAGCTCCATCAAGTCATTTATGTTCTTCTCTAAACTGGTTAGTCTAGTTAGCAGCTCCTCTAACCTTTTATCAAGGTTTTAGCTTATTTGCATTGGGTTAGAACATGCTTCTTTGGCTCCCAGTGGAGTTTTTTATTATCCATCTTCTGAAGCCTTCTGTCAATTCATCCATCTCATCCTCCATCTAGTTCTGTGCCCTTGCTGGAGAGGTGTTGCAATCATTTGGAGGCGAAGAGGCACTCTGGCCTTTTGGGTTTCAAGTGTTGTTTTTTCTTGATTCTTTCTCATCTTCATGAATTTGTCTAGTTTCGATCTTTGAGGCTGCTGACCCTTCGATGGGGTTTTTGTGGGGGCTTTTTTTGTTGTTGTTGATGCTGTTATTGTTGCTTTCTCTTTGTTTTTCTTTCAATGGTCAGGTCGCTCTTCTGTAGGGCTGCTGTGGTTTGCTGGGAGTTCACTTCAGGCCCTATTCATCTGTTTTGCTCCCAGGCCTGGAGATGTCACTCAAGGAGGCTGGAGAACAGCAAAGATGAGTGCCTGCTCCTTCTTTTGGGATCTTTGACCTCGAGGGGCACCAACTTTATGCTAGTAGGATCAGTCCTATCTAGGGCATCTTACAACCCTGTTGGAGGGTCTCACCCAGTTTGGTGGCAGGGGAACAGGACCTGTTTAATAAAGCACTTTGACTGTCTCTTTGTGGAGGGGGTGTGCTTCACTCAGGGGGAACCCACTAGTCTGGGCTGCCTGGCTTTCTCAGAACTACCAGGAGAAAAGGCTAAGTCTGCTAGTCAGCAGAGACTGTGGCCACCCCTGCCCCTAGGGGATCAGGCCCAGGGAGATCAGGGTCCTGTCCCTGAGCCTCTGGCTGGAGTTGTTGGAGTTCCTGCAGGGAGGCCCTGCCTAGTAAGGAAGGATGGGTCAGGGTCAGGCCTGAAGAGGTTCTCTGGCCACAGTCTGTCACAGCAGGTGTGTTGGGCTATGGGGGACAGCTCTTGGGACCAAGCCATCCAGCCTCCCTGGCTCCAACAAGGGAATAGTGCAGCCCGGAACTATAGAGATGGATGGCACCCTTCCCCGCTTCGTGTGTTAGGCAGTTATGTGTTCCAGTGCTGGCTGCTGCTCCTCCCGCAAGGAGCTCAAATGGCTTAGACAGCAGGCAGAGTCTGTTGAGAATCTGCGTGGCTCCAGGGTTGGGAACCTAGGCCCTGGTGGCATGGGTTTGCGAGTGGGATTTTCCTATCCATGCGTTGCACAGTTCCATGGAAAAAGCACGGTTTCCCCAGCTGGGTAGCACACTCACTCACCACCTCCCTTGGCTAGGGAGTAGGGGCTCCCCTGCCCTGTGTGGCTCTCAGGTGGGCCCCCGCACCACAGCTCTCTTCCCTCCTCTCTGTGGATCATGCCAGTCACCTAGACTATTCTGATGAGAGAGCATGGATACCTGGGTTGCCGGTGCAGGATTCACATGCTGATTACGGTTCTTTTTGATGGGAGCCTCTGATCGCAGCTGCTTCTAGTCAGCCATCTTGGCCCCACCCCCTGAGAAATTGAAACTTTTCTTGATATAACAGCCAATGATAGGCACATATATAATATACATATAATATATATTTGTATAATATACATTATATACATGTTATATATATTATATATGTATCTATTATATACCTACTATAGTATATATTGTATATATTATATATTGTATAAATATATAATATATAGTATACATACTATATATTATATGCATATATTTATAATATATGTTATCTATAGTACATTATATTATACATATATATAATATGATATTTTATTCCCTGGTTATATTTTAAATTCCAACAACTTACATTCTCACCAATATATATTATATATGTACAATACATAATATATTTTTATAAATATAATATATATTTATTATACACCATTATATTATACATATATTGTACCTATATAATATACATATATAATATGATATTTTATTCCTTGGTCATATTTTAAATTGCAACAACTTACCTTCCTCTAGAATTAATGCTATAAGCCCATTCTCTCTATAGTTCCTGGAGAGATCCTTTCAAGATGGGACCTATCCATGTCATTTTTATTGTTTGACTTTTCCCATTTGCCTTGAGAATACTTTGCCAGAGTCACTTGCCACTGCAATGTTTACCGTGTGATAACCTTTGCCATGAAATATCTGGCTTTTATTATCATTTTTGCCTCACTCTCGTATATTGACTTTGGGAACAAAAGACATCACTGTATTTATATCATTCTGTTTTTAGTAGTGGTATTTCCATTTATGAAATATAGTAATTATTGATCACTGAAAATGTCAAATCCTAGAAAAAATAGCATTTCTACCTGTGATGTTACCATCGTCCTCGAACAGTTGTTGGCCAAAGACTCATTTGATGAATCTGATTTATCTGAAATAGATGGTTCTGATGATTCAGACAATTTTTATATTAGTTCTGTCTGAAATAACTCCAAGAATGGTTTTTATGTTTTATTTTCACATTGAAAATCGGTCAGATTTGCTTGACCCTCAAAGAGTGTGTTTATGTAAAATTCAATGAGTGCTGGCAGTGAGCTACATTATTTTTTTTCTAAATGGGAAACAGGTTAAAATCTTTCAGTGGCTCAATATTGCCCATAAGGCATTCAAGGCCTTGGTCATCTGTGTCTTTTCCTCTTCTCCCACTGCCAGCTGCAATGAGATATTTATGATGTAATAAACAAGGCATGCCATTTCATAGCACCATGTTTTTGTGCATGATGCCCAACATACAAACATGGTTTTCTGTTCTTATTGATTTGGAAATTGCCTATTTATTTTTTTAAACACCACTCTTGTTTCCTCTAAGAACTTCCTTCCAGTTCTCAGCAGAGTCAATTGTTATTTCCCCCATATATACAATATACATATTTATAAAATACATTTGACATCTCTTGTGTGTCATTGGCTGTGAGCTGCTTGAGGGTAAGAACTTGATCTGTGTATCTCTGTAGCTTCTCACAGTCCCTTATAACATGCCAAATACACAAAATGTTTCCGAAGTTGGTGAACTAAATGAATGAATGAATATTTATTATGAGAATTAAATATTCTTCTTATAACTATTTATTATAAGAATTAAATATATACATATATATAGCTATTAATAGAATGCCTACTACAGGCACCTGTAGTCCCAGCTACTCGGGAGGCTGAGGCAGGGAATTGCTTGAACCCGGGAGGCGGAGGTTGCAGTGAGCTGAGATCGTGCCACGGCACTCCAGCCTGGGCAACAGAGCGAGACTCTGTCTCAAAAAAAAAAAGGAATGCCTACCACATGATAGGTGTTATAAAAGTATTTTCTATTATTTTTCTCCTGCGTAATTTCTGTCCATATTTCTTTCCATTTGGTTTTGCCATCCAAGCAGATTAAAGGAAAGAAATGTCACATTCCTGTGTAACACCTTATAAGCATTTAATTAACCTGTCCATACATTCATCAAGAATTTGTGATTCCCACAGTCCAAATCTCTGTGAATTTTCTTTCTAGCCATGTGTGGCATAGCTCTCTGACTACACTCTAATACCCCAACCCTCTGTAGCAAGGGTATATTTACTTTGTTTTTTTTGTTTTGTTGAGATGGAGTCTTGTTCTGTTGCCCAGGCTAGAGTGCAGTGGCGCGATCTCAGCTAACTGCAACCTCTGCCTTCTGGGTTCAAGTTATTCTCCTGCCTCAGCCTCCTAAGAAGCTGGGATTACAGGCACGTGCCACCATGCCCGGCTAATTTTTGTACTTAGAGACAGGGTTTCGCCATGTTAGTTAGGCTGGTTTCGAACTCCTGACCTCATGATCCGCCCACCTCTGCCTCCCAGAGTGCTGGGATTATAGGCATGAGCCACCAAGCCCGGACTATTTCTTTTCCCCACGAAGATTTCCCAATTCCTAATTGCTTTTCTAGCTTTTTCAATGGGGTTTTCAACCTCTTAGGAATCTCAGAGGTTCTTTGCAGTAACATTAATCTTTATTGCACAAGACTGCCACATTATTTTGCTTTGGATTTATCTTTGCAGATTCTGCCCCCAAATAAATAAATAAAATGAAATGACACATTTCTACAGCTGAACAGTGAAGTTTGTTTTTCTTCTGTGAGGCTGAACATTTATTGATGAATCCATATTGTACTGACAGCAACTTCTTCAATAATTTCATGGGTTATATAACAGTTGGTAATAGTGCATGCACGTGGGCAGGGAGAACTATGCAAATATCAATAATAATTATGCTTGGTGTATGCAAATTCCAGCAGGTATTTTCAGAAATTAATCTTCCAAATTACTTTTGCACAATTCAGGAAAATTGAAATGTGCATTTAAATAATTGTAGAAAAATGTAAAAGCAATCTCTACTCATTTAAATCACCCAGTTAAGGTGCTATTGTAAACAAAGGGATTGTAGATATTTCAGACACAGAAGCCATACTGTCAAAACAGAATTACAGAGATCATGAGAGCTTTGCTTTGTTTGTAGACAACTTACCAGGGATGGCATTGTTTGGATTAGTTTGTTTTTGGTTTAAAGCATTATTATTAATATTCCTCAAAAATCATTACTAAAAAGAAGCAATATTGTTTTATTTGTTTACATACTCACTTATATGTTTCATGCATCACTGTGTCCATTTACCAACCCATCTGTCTATCAAATTAATGTTTATTAAGCATGATTATATGCCACAGACTAAGGTAAGTAAAGTTATGTGAGTAGGAAGACCTTTTGACTTGTGTCTCCAGCTCAATATGGGCCACAAGTTTACATAGTTTAGCCATTTTGGGGTCTTTACATTTCCTCCATGAGTTTAATATCAATTGTAACTTCATATGAAAGCTAGAATATAGAGCAATAATTAATGCATTTATATAAGCAAAGCACTTTCAATGTCTTCTTCTGCTTTCATGCAGTTTTAATTCATCAAATTATGGCCAGAGGCTTTAATTGCTGAAAGTAACCCTAGGTTTCTCTGACTTTCTTGAATATCTGACATGCATTTCTCAGGGAAAATATTGAATTCATAGATAAAGGCTAGAAAGATGCGCAATCCTTGCCCTCAAGAAGCTGACTTCTCATGGGCATCCGGGACAAGGAGCATTTGCCTATTATTAATGCTTGTGACTAAAAGTACTGCTATCAGAGTCCACAGACATTTCGGGAACAAAAGGTCTCCTTCCAGGAGTGATCAGGACACTTTTGAGATGTCCTTGAGTTGTGCCTTGGGTATGCGTTTTACAAAGGAAAACGGTGGAGACAGCTGTTGAAACAGGAAAGTCCAGGATTTCAGACCTAGGTTCAGCAGCTATAGGACTGTGAAGTCTTAACAACTAGCCTCATCTGTAAAATAGGGATGAGGACACCAGCCTCATAAAGATCTTTGGGAGGATTTAGCTAATGTTTGCTAATATGCTCATTAAATTATATGAAGCAGGGATTCCTAGGTAGAAGAGATGGTCCAGGGTAAAGGCACAGAAGGGAGGAAAAAAGACATATTAGGACCCTGGTGATAAGGCCAGTTTGTCTACTGCTTATGGTTCTTCTACTGCCTCTGCTTTTCTTTCTAGAAAACCAGAGGCAGCAACCACAAATCTATTTGTCTGTTTTGCGATGTTGAATTTGTGACTTGACTGTTTTGTTTTTAACTGCTTTGTCTTTAAAATCAATCAGGAAAACTCATTTTATGCTGCCCCAAGTGGTGGGAGGTAAGATGACAGATACATCACCTGCAAGTAAGGCTTTTGTGTTCCTCTTCAGTTGGTGCTCTCTATTCATTTAAGTGTTTCTTATCAGCTTCTGCCTAGGGATAACCTTCTAATAAAAATACACATTTCCTTGCCCATATGTCACAAGTCAGCTGTTCCTCTAAAGGACATACCTGTGATCTTGAACAATGGGTTCAAAATATATTATAAACCAGTATAATATTCTAGGTTTTGTTTGTTTGTTTTTTGTTTTCTGAGACAGAATCTCTCTCTGTCACCCAGGCTGGAGTGCAGTGGCTCGATTTTGGCTCACTGCAACCTCTGCCTCCCAGGTTCAGGTGATTCTCTTGTCTCAGCCTCCCGAGCAGGTGGGATTACAGGTGCATGCCACTACGCCCAGCTAATTGGCATTTTTAGTAGAGACAGGGTTTCACCATGTTGGCCAGGCTGGTCTTGAATTTCTGACCTCAAGTGATCTGCCTGCCTCTGCCTGCTAAAGTGCTGGGATAACAGGCATGAGCCACCATGCCAGGCCCTAGTTTTTTTATTTTTATTTTTTATTGTTTTTATTGTTGCTGTTGTTTGAGGGAAATACTGAAACTACAAATAAATTAACAGTCATTGCCACCAACTCATTTGATGAAAACCGTTTATTCTAATTGCAACTGAAAACCTGGCTTTTGTGCCCTCAGATCAGATGATCTGTTGTGTTTTCCTATATTTTTGAGTGCTGCTTAGTTTTTCTTATTTTTTTGTTTCCCATGCCTCCACCTGTGATCCTACAAATAGCATACTGATAACAGAAGGCAAACAGGTAGAATGGTAGAGAAAGAAGGTTGGGAGCACAGGAAAATGGGACAGTGTCTTTCTTGTCTTTCACTTATTCGTTTACCAATTACTGCTGAAACTGTGGTGGAAGCCATAAAGACAAAGTCCAAGAAGGTACCACCTATATCTCTGAGGCACTTGGCAGTTGAGAGATAACAGCAATTGGGCCATAACCATGATGACCAGTCCTTCAATGGAGGATGTTCAGATGCTGTAGAAGCATTTAGGTGGGAGCGACTAACTGGCCTGGGAGAGCTGGAAAAGCTTCACAGAGGAGGTGATATTAGACTGAATCATGAACATAAAAAAGAGTCTGGATGAAGGACATTCCAGACAAGATGAATTATTATCTCAGTGATTAAAATCTATGTCAGAGAAAGGTTAGGCCATAGAACGATGTACAGCTCTAAGGGATTCAGAAGACAGAAACATTACATTTCATAAAGAGATAAAGAGAGACACTTCAAGGAGGAAGTAGTATTTTAAATGGGCCATGACATTTTAGAAGGGATAGGTGGGGCTAAAGAGGGCCCTTTAAATGGAGGCTCTTATGAACAATGACATGGGGGTAAGAAAGTTCAAGGTGGGGCTTAGGGAACACGAAGGAGACATGTATGCTTAGAGTGTAGGCTACGTGTAGTTAATATGAGAAAGGTCAGGTGGGGTCAGATGGGGAGAGTTCCAGATGCTGACGTGAGGCCTCTGTACCTAATACTATTATTTGGTAGGAGTCACCAATACTTTATTTGGGAAACGATAGTCCATTCAGCTTAATTCCACCGGTATTTTTGGAGACCTTCCTTGCTCTGAAACAGGTACTGTGATAGATTCTAGGGACACAAAATGAATCAGACATGATTCTTGACCTTTTGAATCTTTCATCAAAATATTTATCCATGTTTCTGTCTAAGTCAATGTCCATGTCTGTGTTCATGTCCATGTCCATGTCTATGTCTAAGTCAATGTTTATGTCAATTTCTATGCCTATATCTATATCTGCATCTGTCTGCATCTGTATCTAGATCTTTAGACAGAGATTAATTTGACTGTGGTGTGCAGGATGTGTGGAAGCAGGGGAAGAGGGGCAGGAGAGGTGAACAGGCAGCAGCCATCCACATGGAAAGGTCTGAACCAGTCCAGATGGGAGGGCCTGAACAGGGGCAGTACAGCAGGAAGGGCACTGTCTTTGGAGTCTGAGGAATTTGAGCCTGAATCCAGGCTGTATCACAAACTCTCCTTGAGAGTTTATTCAAGTAATTTCCTCAGCCTGATTCTCTTCATCTGTAAAACAGGGAAAATAACACTTACCTCTGAGGGTGGATGAGAAGATTTAAGGTGACGTATTAAGCACTTGGCACATGGTTGGCATCAGCAATCGGCAGTGATGAAAGAGGCTGCAATGCCTTTGATTTGCCACTCCCTGTTCAGAAAGAAGTCAACACTTTTACCCCAGTGAGAGAGGCAGGTTTGGTGGCTCCAGATAGGGAATGATGACTATGGCTTTAAGCCTACCCTTTGACCTCTACGTCTGTTTCCCAGGTAAGGAGAACAGATATCCCTTGCTTGGCTGTCAGAGCCAGGCTCACCTTGGGAGGCCCTTTCATGGACTGCTTCTTCCCATCCCACCAATGAACCCACTGACTCAGCCGCTGAGAGGTTCTGGCAGGAAGCACGGCTGCAGCTGCGACCAGGCCAGGTTGCTCCATCTCCAGCAAACATTTAGAGTGGCTCAGTGCCTGCTGCTCCTGCCTTGACACAGAGGAAACTGAGAGCCAGGACAGCGAGTGGCAGCCAAGAGGATGCTGCCAGCATGGCAGCCAGGAGCTGCAAAGACCCCGAGCGCTAGATGGTTTTGCCATCACTGTGGGGAGTGTCCCCAGCTGTCGGTGCCACGAGCTCACCTGAGCATGCAGGACTGTTGCCCAGGCCCCTCACTCTCCCTGGCTGATGTGAGGTGGCTTCCAGGGGCAACAGCACTGTGGTGAACAAGGAGGAAGCCAGGACAACAGTGAGGAAATGTGGAAGAGCATTTCCAAAGGCTGTTTCTGTTGGGGATTCTTGTTTGTCCAAGACTGTGATTTACCTCCATGATACTTAGCATTTGTGAGCAGCAGGGTGCTAGTAGAGGTTTAACAACCGGCTCTGAGAATGGAGGCAGGGAGGGAGTGGGGAAAGAAGCGTCCTGATTTGTAGTTTTTGATGATTTCCATGGAGTAAAAATTTCCACCACAGAAAATGTCAAGGTACCAACATGATAACCACTGAAGTAAAGTTCAGAAGAGATGGGAAGTGTCACATCATTATGAAGTATTTCCACCACAGATAGACAGTAGATACAAATAACCTCAAAACTGTTGATAATAATAAAAGATAGTAAAATTATTAGGAAGTGAGGATTTTGAGTATTTACTGTCTGTGCCTATAATATAATTTATTTAATTGTAAGTTGATATATTTTAACATTTAATGATGGGCTAATCTGACAATGGCCTCTCAAAATTCCTCATGATTTTTTGAAGGCAGTGCAGAGCATCTTTGTTTTTACCTTCTCTGGAGAATAAACCTCCAGTCTTTTGCTTTCATTTGTAAGGGAAAATTGCCTGGCTGACTGGTGTGTGGTAAGAAAGCTGGGTGGTGTGGGGGGGGGGGCGTGTCTTTTCTTTTTAATTTATTGAAGTGGCATTCACATGACATAAAATTAATTCCTTTGAAGTAACCAACTCACTGACATTCAGTACATTCACAGTGTTATGCAAACACCAACCCTTATCTGGTTTTAAAACATTTCAATCACTCCAATGCAAAACCCCTGAGTTAGTTTGCTAGGACTGCTATTAAAAAGTGCCAGACAATGGGTGGATTAAAAAACAAAAAAATCATTTTTTCACAGTTCTGGAGGCTGGAATTTCAAGATCAAAGTGTCAGCAGGCTTCGTTTCTGCTGAGGGCCATGAGGGAGAATCTGTTCCAGGCCTCTCTCCTTGGCCTGTCAATGGCTGTCTTCTCCCTGTGTTTTCACGTAGTCCTCCCTTTGTATGTGTCTGTGTCCAAATTTCCTCTTCTTATAAGGGTATCTGTCACATTGGATGAGGGCCAACTATAATGACCGCATTTTAACTTATCTACCTCTGTAAAGACCCTGTCTCCAAATAGAGTTACTTTCCTAAGTACTATGGGTTACAACTTTAACATACCAATTTTTCTTTTGCAGGAGGTATTACAATTCAGCTGATAACAACTCCGTAACCATTAAGCAGTTTCCCTCTATACCCCCTTACTCTCGGTCCCTGGCAGCCAATAGTCTGTGTTTTGTCTCTATGGATTTACCTATTCTGGATATTTCATACAAGGAAATCATATAACACATGACCTTCGTGTCTGGCTTCTATCACTTGAAAACATTTCCATTTTCATGTGTTTCACAGGAGTATCATTAGTTTTGTGTGCTGTGGTTTAAAAAAAAATGAGGACTAGGTAAAGGGCTACCAAGAGCAATTGCTTCAAAGTTAAGGAATTCTCTTAAAGACCACAAAACTAACCAGCATTTGGCAGATAATTTTGTCTCCTGTTTACAAGAATAGAGACAAGAAGACTGATCAAGAGACCACTGGAATAGTTGACACAAGACAGTTCTAAGGCATAGACTTAGGGAAAGGGCAAAAGAGATCAAGAGGAGAAGGTTTCATCAAAGTGATTAGAAAATGCAAATCACTTTCAAATGCTTAAACGTTACATATTTTAAAAGTATATGAAAGCGTAAAGAAAATAAAAACCATCTATGATACCACAACTCAGTTATACATACTGTAAACATTTTGATATATCTACTATTTTTATCAAAAAATAACATATACACAGAAAACTGCAAAAGTGATAAAATTTTAGAAGGTTAAACACCCAGTTATCTACCTCACAGGTCATAAAATGTATCCTAAGAGCCTTCCTCATGCCCTCTACTACCAAAGGTAATAATTACTAGTTTTAGCCTTTTTTTTTTTTTTTTTTCCCTTTTTTGAGACAGAGTCTTGCTCTATCGCCCAGGCAGGAGTGCAGTGGCACGATCTCGGCTCACTGCAACATCTGCCTTCCAGGTTCAAGGACTTCTCCTGCCTCAGCCTCCCAAGTAGCTGGAATTACAGGCGCCCACCACAGCACCACCAATGCCTGGTACATTTTTGTATCTTTTGTTTCATCATGTTGGCCAGGCTGGTCTTGAACTACTGACCTCAGGTGATCTGTCTGCCTCAGCCTCCCAAAGTGCTGGGATTACAGGTGTGAGCCACCACGCCTGACTAGTTTTAGCCTATTTTTGAGCCAGAGAGAAAGAAAATAAAATTACACTCTTTTATTTTTGGCTTATTTTCCTCACATTTTGTGAAATGGATCCATGTAGTTGTGTGAAGTAGTTACTCTTTCATTTTCCTACTATTCTATGATATGAATATGTGACAAATAACTAAACTGATTTTATTATTGGTGAGTATTTGGGTTATGTCCAAATTTTAGATATTGTAACAATGTTGCTATGTTCTTGTCTTTTGTGCTCATATGTATACCACATACTTGCACATATGTATCTGGTGGGGTGTGTCCTCCCAAGATTTCTTCTTGTGTTAAATATGATCTAGGAGTGGAACTGCTGGTCATCAAGTGCACATTCAGAGTTAGGAGATGCCCCATCAAAGAATCATCCACAGTGGTTATACTACTCTACATTCTTACAGACAGCATGTGAGGGTTCCTTTCCCTCCATATCTGCATCAACATTTGATAATGTCAGTTAATTTAACTTCACCATACTGGTGGGTGTTGTTTGGTGGTATGTAATTGTGCTTTAGTTTGCATTTTCCTTATAATTTATGATGATAAGTTTTTTACATGTTTACTCAACATCTTATATTTTCTTTTGGGAGGAACCCATGCATTGGGTTCTCTATTCTATTTCTGGGTTTTCTGTTCTGTTCCATTGGTCTATATGTCTGTTTCTATGCCAGTACCATGCTGTTTTGTTTACCGTAGGTTTGTAATATACTTTAAAATAAAGAAGTGTGATGTCTCCAACTTTGTTCTTTCTAATGATTGCTTTGGGTATTTGGGGTATTTTGTGGTTCCATATGCATTTTGGAAATGTTATTTTTTCTTCTATGAAGATTGACATTGGGATTTTGATAGGGATGGCATTGAATCAGTAAATCACTTAGGGCAGTATGGACATTTAAGAATATTATTTTTTCCCAATCTATGGCCATGGGAAATCTTTCCATTTATATATGTCTTTAATTTTCTTCCTCGATGCTTTATAATTTTCAGTGTCTTTAATTTCCTTCATCAGTGCTTTATAATTTTCTTTTTCACCTCCTTGGTTAAGTTTATTTCTAAGTATTTTATTCTTTTTGTTGCTATTGTGAATGAAATTGTTTTCTTCTTTTTTGGATAGTTTATTGTTTGGGTATAGAAATGCAACTGATTTTGTGTGTTGAAATAGTATCTTGCAAATCTACTGAATTCATTTATTTGTTCTAAAAATTATTGTGTCTTTAGGGTTTTCTACATATATGATCATGTCATTTGCAAAGAGATAATTATACTTCTTATTCAATTAGATGCCTTTGATTATTTTTTATTTTCTAATTACTTTAGCTATGACTTCTAGCACTATGTTGAGTAGAGGTCGTGAGAGTGAGCATCTTTGCCTTGTGCCAGATATTAGAGGGAAAGCTCTCAGTTTTTCCACATTTGATTATAATGTTAGCCATGGGCATTTTATATATGGCTATAATTGTGTTGAGGAAAGTTCTTTTTGTACTTATTTTGTTGAAGCTTTAATTATGAATGGATGCCAAACTTTGTCCAATACTTTTCCTGTATCTATTGACATAATCTTGTGATATTTTTCCTTTCATTTTGTCAATGTGGTATAATACATTGATTTACATATATTGAACTGTCCTTGCATCACAGGGATGAATTCCACTGGTCATGGTATATAATCCTTTTAGTGTGCAGT